>NC_000004.12:80133502-80285017 GCF_000001405.40 Homo sapiens
GGGTTCATGTCTCTTTGAAGAAGACATATGTGTTAGATTGAACTACATGAAATTATCCTGTGTAGGTTAAAAAAATCAAATATCAGCGATTTTGTATGATTTGATTTAAAGAGAAGTCAATTTTTCGACTAGCTTCATTTCTTAGTCAAGTACTAAAACATAACTAAAATATTGACATTTTTCTTACAAGGTAAAAAATTATATCTTTGAGTGAATATCCCCTTATAATGTATACTTTAGAAATTAGAATAGAATGATTGTTATTGTTTTATCCTGTCAATTGCATTTCAAAGATAGTATATATTTTTTAATGTATTTTTTTCATACAAAATGCTGTCGGTTTAAAACACCCTGCATATATTTACATTCCAAATCAGTGTCACTTTCATCATGTGTTACCATAGAAGAATGTTTCTTCTGTAGTGAATTTTAAAAAAGAGCAAAAACAGGGTATTCTTAAGCAGGCAGACTTTGACAAGCTGCTCTGCAAAGCTTAAGCGCATGTTTTTGATTAATTCAGGTATCTATAATTATCTAAAAAGCAATCTAGAGAAAACCAATTTCAATCCAATTCAGGTCATTCCATGCTTCTAGTCTCAGGTTAAAATAGTGGTCTTGGTATGTTTGGAAACTGCTGTCTTAGGAGTGACATGGGGCAGTAGAGATAAGATGAGAACCTATTGTAATCATAAAATAAAAAGGTCAAGGCATATACCTGTGCTATCTACTTCTATTTGGTGGTAGCAGCCATAATTGACCTGGAGTGAGGAGAGTTCTGGGGGAAACCTGTAACACTTATGTCTCCTTTCTTGCTTTTCTTTCTATTGGATTAAAAATAGAGGAGATTAGACAAACTATTTTAGTCCTTTGGAAATATACCTACTGAAAGCATAGTTCTAGGAATCTTTTTTCTTTGACCAGAAGGTGCTTAAGTGAGTTTTGGATTCAGAAACAAAAAACAGAAGTTCTGTAAAAGAATAATACAAAGTAATTTATCTTATTAAGATAGGAGATTTGGGTCCTGGGAGAAGTGTCTAATAAATTCCACTTTTCATTATAGAATACTACCCGAACTGCTGAAAATAAAGCAAAGAGAGGTGGTACCACCACCAGAATATATATTTTTCCCCTAGATAATTAGGAAGTATCCAAAACACATTACCTTCCATTCTTAAACTTAGAAAATAATATATATGATATTAATATTCTGCTTTTAATTTTTTTCTGAAAAGTCCTCCCTTTGGATGCTGTAGAAGGTGTTTCATAAAATTTTTAGTGTTTCCCTCCAGAGCAATCAATTCCTTTCTCTTGTCAAACCACTCCTGATCTACTTTTTCCCAAGATCTAATTGTCCTTCCTTTCTCAGTAAGTCCAAACTTCCATATCCACTAAAATTGCAAATTAACAAAGGATATAATTCTTAAGTGTGTTTTTATATTTTTGCTGGTATAGCCAAGTCCACATATAATTCAGTGACTGAAAATAACTATGTTTGGGGGTAAGGAGACATATTTTAAATACCTCCTTTTGAGATGAAAATAAAACCCTCTTGTTTGTTTCTCCTTGAGCAATCATACTTTTAACCTTCTGTTTGTCAGATGGTGAAACTGAATATCCACTTAAAATGAGCGTGATACCTAGGTAGGATAGCATGAGTCACAACAGGAAGAAAAATAGGAATGTTTATTTCTTTATGATCTTTTAAAGTATGCTTTTTATTTTCTCCTCATTTGCCTGACTCTGAGGCACTGAATACTGATTATAAAAGACACATTGGTGCACCCAACTTCAGTCCGTTTTATCCATCTGGGTAGAGAAAGTTTGACAGGCGTGCGTGGGAGTGGATGTGTGTTGTGAGAATGTATAAGCAGGAATACAGGCTTGAGAGAGCGAGAAACTGAGAGTGAGAAAATGGACTGTGAAAATTTAAGTCTACCCCAAATCCTGATTAACAAGTCTGTTATTTAATCTTCATTTATCTTTACTCATTTTGTAGTCAGGGCACACGGTCATGATTTTTGTCAAGGAAGTGTTCTCTGATTAGAAATGCAGAGCCAATAGACCCGAGGGCTCTTATTTGAAATGCTTCCCTGGACCTTATCTTTGGATATCTGTCAGTAAATACAGAGACACATGGGAAGGTCTCAAGTGTAACAACTAAAGAAAACGTAGGAGATAAGATGGTCACCCTGGTAATGGGAACAGAAACATTCAGGCCTGCAAGCTTCCTATTCAGTGCATTGCCTGTAGGCTCTGATACCTACCTTCAACTAGACCTACTTTCATCAACTGTGCCTTATTATTTTTCTCCTATACTCCCATTATTGGCTCTATTTTGGTTTTCCCTCTTATCTTTCATCTTCCACTTCTTTCATTTTCTCTAATTTCTCATCCTTTTCCTCTTAAATTCCTATTATCCTTTATGTCAGCTACTACAACTCCTATTTTCTCTTTTTACATATTTTAGGATTTTTTTCCTCTATAAACATGCATTTCATAAAATCTTAAAATTATCAGATAATTTAATTTTTTTTTAGTGAAGTGGATTATATCAGATCCTCCTTGGACTTACTTCTCACTTAGGGGAAGTACACGGAGTTAATAAGCCTACAGGGTTGTTCACAAAGGGGAAAATGGCACATGTTAACCAGTGACCCAGAGTAGCGATAGCAGTGACTAGTATTTGTAGAATATTTCTACAAATTCCTTCTCCTTAAAATTATTTAATTCTCACAATTAATCATGTTAGAATGAAAGAATCAAGACTTAGAAGTTAAACCTCTTCCTCAAAGTCATACAGTTAGCAAATAGAAGTCATGAGCCCAGGCCCTCTGACTGTAAATATTATTATTTTTTAAACATGTAATCTTCAGCAGAGAACCGGTCTTAAAAGCAAAAGTTTACTGTATACACAGGTTGAGCCAAAGGTGTTTCCTGTGAAATATAAGCTTTAATTTAATGTATTTACTATTGGTTGGCCTGTGCCTGCTTTTGTAAATAAAGTTCTACTGGAAGAAACAGCCACACCTAATTGTTAATGTATTGCCTCTGGCTGCTTCCACATTATAATGGCATAATTGAAGAGTTGCAACAGAGACCATATGGTACAAAAAGCCTAAAGTTTTTATTGTTTGGACCTTTTCAAAAGTATTTGTTGACTCCCCACATTAGATAAATTTTTACTATGGTTCATTCATAAAAATCAGGTAAAGGAGTAAGAATAGATTGTAACCAGCAAAGTATTATTTCCTTAGAAGTGGACTGTGTCTATACATAGCTGCCAAGTTAACTATTTTAAGATTGTTTTTGAATAACATCAAGTGCCAGTCACACTGTAGTTGACTAATTCTATCCTGAGGTTCTATTAATAAGTATTGAAAATCAATAGTACTGAAACAATTAGGTAGTAGTCCAGTTATTTTAAACACATGAACTCAAATCGTAGAGAAATTCCTGAGTTTCCAAGTGGTTTTAAGCAGAGATTTTTCTGATATTAGCTAATATCCCCTAGATGAGAATTAATTGATTTGCTTAAGAGAGAAAAATATTGAGAAATATTTCTGTGTTTTGCGGAGATAAATCTGTTGGATGTTCACTGCCTTGTCTCAATAATAACTAAACAATATGATGTGACAGATGTTTCAGAAACTCATGTAATAATTATACATCTCCATTTTTAACTTCTCAATTCATGAAGCTATTGGCCCTGAGGAGATGCTTTTTACCTCTGTTTCTGGTGAACACCAAAGGATAGTAAATGAGAATTTATTAATATCCAGCTTAAACAGCTAGAGATAAATCCAATAAACATTATTTTTTCTTGAGTAACAACTTAAATGCGTACTATAAGAGTTTATTAAGTTCTTTTTGGAAATTCTACTTTTATCAGGTACTATCTCTCTAAGAAATTAGTTTCATACATCTACTCTATGCTGAATCTTTCAAATAAAAATTCTTTTGATTTATTCTTTCTTTTACCTCTTTTACAATAATTACCTGGTTTTTACATACAAAACAAAATTTTTAACAATTTTGAAGATTTTGGCTTTATTTTCTCTCAAACTTCGCCATTCCATTTTGGAGTTTAAATCTTTTTAGTTTACACTTAATGTGGCAGCATGGCCCTTCTTCCTGGTTGTTTCAGATGTCTTACCCCTTTTGCTTTCCTTTTCATCGTATTCTTGAATATAGGGATCAGAACTGTGAATAACAGACACATCTGCACTTTGATTTTCTGTAAGAGGACATTGTGTTCTATTTTGTTTCCTTTCCCTTTCTTGTGATTGTCAGAATTCCATCAGCCTTTAATGAACTCCTCCCTGTCCTCATAGAAGAGTTCACAATGATCCCTGTGCTGTAATAGATAACTCCAAGACCATTACTCTGCCGGTATAGTTTGGATTATTTTTTTTCTAAGTGCATTGGCTCATTATTTTATCTTTGTCCCTTTTGTGACTCATATATCAATTTTCCGTCCATGAACGTAGCTTCGTGAAGTCTTTCTGCAGTTTATTTCCATCAGCTTGGCATTTTCATTAACCAGAAGAGCTTAAGGTCACTGGCAAACTTGGGAACTTCAATGTGAACATTTTCTTTTCCACAGTTTATGAAAATGTTAATAAAAGCAGCTTCTGAACCCATCCCTGATACTAAATTATTCAATAGATCACTAAAATAAAACAATTTATGGGGAAGAATTAAACCTTACATGTATTATTTCAGTGTATAACACAGTTTTGAATTAATGTGATTTAGAAAATGGATGAACTAAATCAACTGTTGTAGAAGGTGAAACAATATTTAAAGAGACCTTTAACTTTCCACATTGAGACCCTGTAGAAAATTGCTACCTTTCTCAACAAAAGACAAAAAAGGGACAATCTCCACAGTAGTGAATTTGAGATTCCTCTTGTAGATTCCTTTACTCTTAAACTACTACCACAACAGATCATGTAAGTGCTATGGTCTCTTAAAATTAAGAACCAGTTGTGAATATCAAATCTTTTACTTAATATCCATGAGCACAATAGAGAACAAACTAGAACATTTCAACAAGATTTTATTTAATGCCAGAGGATAACAAAACAAAAATATGCACAGAAAAACCTGGACTTAGAGAATCTGGCCTACAAATTACAACTTTTTTTTCTAGAGCTTAAGTTCCTCATCCCATCCAAATTCTGACTGGCCTCCAAGAAAGAGGTTCTTGTTAATATCCACCCCTAAATAACTTAAGTTTTCACATTCAGTTTCCTCCCTGGGGACTGCCCTCAAAGTCAGTGCAATATAAAGAAAATTTTGACCGGATCGGTGGAGAGATGGATAGGTAGTAGACACATACATACATATATAGATACATAGATAAATAGATTAAAATAAATTAGATATCTAAAAATAGATATAGATTAAAACAAAAATACAGACATACAGATATATCTGACAGTTCTGGAATTTGAAAGCATTGCAAATGATTGTTTAGTTATACCAAGCCAACAGTTAAGCCACATATTGATGGGATGAATGTGGCAAATGTTTTTCTTCTTTTTAATATTTTCTGAATCATACTTGGAGCAGATGCTTTGTAAGCCTTGTACCACATCCTGTCAGTTCACATGAGGGTTTCAGCTGCAGCTGTGGTGGAAAGACAGATCTTGTGCAAGCTGCAGGCATCTTTACCTGTCTCAAACTTCTGCTCTTGCCACCCCACCTTTCTTCATTATGCTGCCACAGGAGGCAGCCCAGAAGTTGGGGGAAGTTAACCCTCCACCAATTGAGGAGAGTCAATAGAAAAAGGACCCTGTCCCCTGTCCTCCCAGTCTCCTGGTCCTTTGGAGTGATAATTGTGAGTGCATTTTACATGGCTCCTGAGAGGATCCCCAGTAGGATCAAGCTCCAGTTGTACATACCAACACAATAATACATCACTTACCAACTTTCCATCATTTCTTGCCTCATTCTCCTCATTTTAAGCCATGATTCCTCCCCACCACTACCAAATAAACTGACATAATTCAAAGTTATGTCTCAGATTCTGCCTAAGGAAACCCAAATTAATACAGTATCTGTATATCAGATTGAACAACACACTTCTCATTAAACAGTACATTTTACCACCTGAAAAAAATGACAAATTATCATAATAGCATTTAGCAATGATAACCATGGGTATCATGAACGCCATTAACAAATAAAAGAAAAACAGTGTTCACCCATTAAGAATGATATTGTAAGGAGCTGAAATCATAGAATGATGGAAAGTATAACACAGTTCTGCCAAAGTTGTGAAAATATGTGCTTGTTGTGGTAAAAAAAAAAAATGCAAATCTAACTCTAGATATAAAATTGTGGAAGGGGAACTATATTCATGACGAGAAGTTACATAACATCACAATAGTCGTCATTTGTGAGTAACTACATTCAAATCAGAAAAGCCTTGTAAATTTTAAGCTATGTTCTTATGGTTTAAAGGTACAACAATGTTGGGATGGGAGTAATAAACAGCACCCTCTTTCATAGCCTCATTTTGGACTAATTAAGAAGAATCAAGCAGACAGAAATTTAAATATCCCTTTTATTACTTTGAATGCCCCACAGGTTAGGGCCTTTTCTCATATTTACTCATTCAGTCACAGAAAAACTGGCTACCGTAAGCATCCCGAAGTGGAAGGTTTGCCCTGTAAAACTTATGCCAGGAGGAACCAAACTTCTCTGTGCAGCTAGATCGCAAAAGAAATAAGAGATGTGAGGACTAAAATACACCTTCCTAGTTCCTCCTTCCAAACTCAGCTTTTAAAGAAGTCACTCTTTCTTCTGTAATGAGGAGTAAGGAAGAGGATCATGAATGTCACCATGGGAAGAGGCCATGAATGTCATACTAGTTAGTACTCTCCATGTAGAATGAGACTCAGGCCTGGGGAAAGAGCAAGCTGTCAGCCCCCAGCAGACTGGACAGTGGTTGCTATGGATCTGTCACCAGATGAATTATCCCACAATCTCCTACAACTCTCAGCATTTTCTACTTCTAGTTTCTCTACAGAAAAGAAAGTATTTGTTTCTTAAAGTGGGTTTGGTCGGGCACAGTGGCATTCACCTATGGCCCCAGCTACTCTGAAGGCTAAGGCTGAAGGATTATTTGAGCCCAGGAGTTAGAGGTTATGTTACACTATGATTGTGCCTGTCAATAGCTACTGAACTCCAGCCTGGGCAACATAGCGAGATCTTGTCTTTAAAAGTAAACAAACAAATAAATAAATAAAATCTACATTTTAAAAGTGGATTGAGTCTTTACAACATAGGGATGTCCAGGGAGCTTTAATGTATCAATAAGAGTATCCTTAATGTCCAATTTACTTATCTAATTAAAACATTGAACATGTAATAGTCTTTCAAGCATTAAAAATTATCATTCCTGTAAATATCTACACTGTATTTACATAATTAATAAATCAACATTTATCCAAATATTTGAACATTGACTACAAACTTATTTACTTGTATTACTGTAAAATTCAATTTAAAACAAATCTACTATATTATAATCTCCTGATAATGCTTTAAACTCCTTAATAGACAAAGCACATGCTCAAAATAACAATAATTTGAATTTATTATTGCATTTATACAAAAACCAAAAAATTTAAAGCATTTCAAATTTTTTCTGGAATTTAAAATCCACATTTTATTTCTTTATTAGCTCTCTTCTTATTCTATTGCTTGTGCTTATTCTTATCTATGGGTTAGAGTGAGGTTAGCAGACAAAACTTCCTAGCACAAATCTTAACAGACACAAACGAAAAAGAGTTCTATTTCTAGCCTAAGCAGCTAATTCTGCACTATCTGTCAATAGATTCCTGATTGGGATATGGGCCAAATATACACCTAAACTTCATTTCCCTAACATTATCATTCTTGGTGTACTAATTACTATTGCTGCATAACAAATTATTCTTGAAACTTAATGGCTTAAAACAAAACTATTATCTCACAGTTTCTGTGGGTCAGAAATCTGGGGACAGCTAAGCTGGGTCCAAGATAAATTTCCAATTATATCTCATTATAATTAGTAGAGTCATCAAGAAGTCTCATGTCCTAGGAGATAAAGGGTAAATCATGTGAAGATGAAGTTCCTCTGTAAGACACTTACCTCAGTATATACACTTAAACTCTCTTTCTATGTGGTTATTGAGAATTTGACTAGTGGTGTTGATTATGGGTAGCCACCAGTACTGATCAGTACTTTTTGTTTATTCCTATTTTTCCAGGAACCATTTGTTTCACACATTGTTCTCTGTATTACTCATATTTACCCAGAGAGAAAAATACGTCACCATAATTTGTAAAATTCATACGTTTAATGGAAGGAGCAAAACTGTTCTCTACTTATTAAAATTATTTTTGAAACATAATCCTATTCTGCTATATTCTCTTGCTTTTTTGTTTTCAAATTTTCACACAACTTTTTCTTTTTGATATGTTATTGTGAATTCATAGGCTTTCATACAATGTATGTCAATTAATAATTATTATTGTGATTTGATGCTCAATTTTTAATAAACAGTAGATTTTTCATTAAATAGCTCCTTTATCCTTTCAGGCTTTACCCCCTGACATTTGTAAAAACATCTTTTCTCTCTGGCAAAAACTGTATGTTTCAGACATATTGCTTCAAATCCTAACTTCTTCCTGCTTCAAGTCATTGAAACAGCTACCCTCTAAGGAGTCATGATTCCCTTCAATGAAAAACAGCATCAAAAAAAAAAAAATTCTGGGCATTAGTGGTACACACATTTGTGCTGTTGTAAGAGAGAGGGCTAATAATTGTTAGATTTTAGAAAAAGATACAGAAAGAGTTTACCTTTTTAAGGCCAAGTTTCAAGGTGATTTTCCTAATCTAATATGTTTAATATTACGTTGTTTTATTTTACTTTTTAAAAATGAGTTTTTGCAGACTACTAACAATTTCTAGGACATGAAAGGCAATCAGGTGAGTAAAGCTCACCATTCATAGTTTCCTAATGAGGAAATGAAGAACTTCCTGATTTAGTCCAAGCAACTCACGTCAACAGAATTGTAAAACTCATTTCAGTTCAGTAAACATTATTGAGCAATCTTTGTGTGCACCCTCACCATTTCTCAAAATGTGCATTCCTGTGATTTTTTTTCTCTATGATTTAGCAGCTTCTCAGTGATAAAGTGCAAAGGCTTTTCACTCATGCCTGTTTAAAACTGCTTTTAGGTAAAGAAAGAAAAATCTGTATGGAATGTCTCCAAACTCATCAACCATTGTTAGTATTTGGGAAGCACATCCACCATCTCTAACACTTCTCCTAAATACAGACAAATATCTTTACTTTTATAATTTCTACCATTTCCTCTACCAACCACTATCCCCCTACTCTTTCTACATTTTAAGGGGTAAACATTGTTATATACACAGAAGATAGAATAAACCACATATGCAGTGACATGCATGTGTGAGTGTGTGTGTTTATATGTATAGTTGGGTAATGTTTTTTGCATACCTTCTGTGGCAAACATTGTTATTTGGCTGAGCCAATATTCACTCCTATCCTCATTTGCTCTTGCTGCTTCACGTGGTAGCAGGTAGGAAAACTAAATTCTCACTTGAATGATCACCAGCACAATTAGGCCATGTGACATCATCTGGAAAATGAGATAAGAGTTGCTAAATCTACTTGCAATTGAATCTTTATTTTAGAATATTTTTCTGGAGGAAACCAAAGTAAGGCAACAACGGAAAGGTGATAGCTTTTGTAGTACCCTAGCAACACAAAAAGCCTTACTTATGGTGAATTGGGATGAACTACAGGTGAAAGAGGATATGTGGTATGTGCAACATCTCAAGGGTTTGAGAGTAAAGGAAAAAATAAGATCTGTGGAGGTGTTTGTGTGTTCTTGTGCCATAAAAGTGGCAAAGGAAGATAAGAGTAAATCACAAAGTCAGATCACTCAACTATCAACTCAGAACACAGTGTGGAAACCACTGGTCTGGTGTGACAGTACTTAAAGAGACCCTTATCTCCAGCAGCCAGAGGACAGACTCTGCTAAAATTAGGCTATGGATTTTACTGGGAAAGTAAAAGTTACAAATAAGGCTAACTGTACAATCCATTAGCGATTCCCTATGTTACAGTCCTGGCCCTGATAAGAAAAATAGAAAACTAAAATTTAAAATAAGAATATCTGAGTATATACACATGAATATATTACACCACTAAATCTCCCAACACTTTTTAGTTAGCAGAAGCAACTTTTGGCTCTTGGGCAGAGAACAGCCTTTCCTTACCTGGAGACCATGAAAAGGCCCCATCTGAGGCAGGTGCCCCACAAGATGATATCTGACCTTCTGAAGATCTGCTCCCATTTCTGCTCATGGCTTCTAGATAAGTGTTTCTCAAACTATAACATGGATCTGTATCGCCTGGAGGGCTAGTTAAATCATGGGTTACTGAGTCCTCATCCCTAGATTTTCTGATTCAGTAGGCTTGGGATAGGACTTGGAATTTGCATTTCTAACAAATTCCCAGGCAGTACTCCTGGTCCAGAGACTGTGCTTTGAGAACCACTGCCTTAGATCAACAATCAGAAATAACTTTCAACCTAACCCTGACTAGGGAAGTACTATATCTGGTATAAAAGAAAAAGATTACCCCCAAAACCATGGAAGCTGAGGCCGGGTGTGGTGGCTCACGCCTGTAATCCCAGCACTTTGGGAGGTTGAGGTGGGTGGATCACGAGGTCAGGAGTTCAAGTCTAGTCTGGCCAACATGGTGAAACCCCGTCTCTACTAAAAATACAAAAAATTAGCTGGGTGTGGTGGTGTGCACCTCTAATCCCAGCTACTCAGGAGGCTGAGGCAGGAGAATTGCATGAACTCAGAAGGAGAAGGTTGCAGTGAGCCAAGATTGTGCCATTGCACTCCAGCCCAGGCGACAGTGTGAGACTCCGTCTCAAAAAAAAAAAAAAAAAAACCATAGAAGCTGACAAACTTGTATTCAGATCATGACCAAAATGAATCTGTGGGCATAGAGTAGCAAGGGGCAGATATAAAGCTGTTTAAGAGAGTGTGTTGATCTATAGACACTCTTCCATGATCAGGACCCTGGGAGCAAAGATGCTTTGAGCCAATCTTATCTTGCTGCTGGGATAGTCCTTGAAGCATGAAGATGATAATGGCCTACAATAAATGAGGTAGAATTGCTAGAATTGCCTTGGTAGAGTATTGATGATGGGGCCAAAATCTCATATTATTACATATGACAAGAGAACCCACCAGTCATATTCCACAGGAGGGCTAAGAGGATACTTCCTTTATTAAAGCACATCATAATTTATTTAGTAATGCACTCATTGTTGGCTTTCTTTCCTTCCTCATCTCACTTCCCCACTCCCTTACCAGTGTTTCCACAGATTATCTCCCAGATAAGCTACTTGCACTCAAATGTTTGTTTCAAGGGAGGAATACATATTAAGATATACAAGTAAGCAGAGAGGAAAATAAAAAGTTTATTTCCTTTCTCATTTAGGATTCTGGCATGATCATCACCTACATTGCCTGTCATTAACAAAGGATGTCCAGGAGATTAGAATCTGTCATGTGCCCATTAGGCACAAAGAAAAGACCAGGAATAGCACCTGCTGAGTCTTTCTCTTGTGAGGTTTGTAAGAGATTTAGAAATTCTCATGTGAAGTAAATGAGTTAAGAGCCAGATGGCCAGCTAAGGGGGATGAGAAATGTGGTGGCATCATTGTTGAAACTGCTGAGGATTGGTAATGCTGCCAAGACTTAAGGGGGAGGCAGTTCTGTAAGTGGAGGATCCCTGTTCACTGGCCATGCCAAGAGGCCCCACCACAAGTTTCATCAGATGCAGACTTTAGCAGGTGATTCCAGAAGGGTGCCTAGTTGACTATGAGGGACAAAGAACATTTCCCAGAAGCCAGGGAGAACCTAAAGCCCATTTGAGATCAAGCCTACTCCTCCTATGACCGAGAAGACCTATATGCCCTCTTGAATTCAGATGTTATCTTTCAAGCAGAATAGAAGAAGGAATTCTCAAAGAAAGCTGTACTTTGAGATGTCTGAGTAGTTATATTTGATAGGACTGTTTTAAGCCAGAAAAGACTGAGATAATTTTAACTGGAAGTTTAAATTCTGCCACTGCACAATCCATACCATCCAGCACAGGGGGCTCCAGAGGAAGTTTTTACATGAATATCACCTCCACTATATACAGATTTAATGTGTTCAAAGAAATAAGTGTATCCATGCTTTTCTTCACTTGTTATGGGAAAAATGCTTTTGATAAGTAATTTATTTTAAAATGTAGCCCTTGAATATTCCAAGAAGTGCATGTGTACACAGAGACTTTCCAGAGATGTAGAGAAAGAAAAAGGCAAGGGCATCAGCACAGCAGGCTGCATAGACAAAAAAGTCCTTGGGATGCAGCCAGCTGCACTGACCTGAGACCAGGAAAGAAGTGGGGCCATGAGCTAGAGAATTCCAAACCCCAGGAAACCTGAAAGCAGGCCAAAAATGGATAACAACCTTCTCTGTCCCTTTTCCTCTCTCTGGAAACTCTTGTCCTCCCACTCACTTCTCGTGTATCTATCCTATGTCTTCTCTTACCAATTCAGCCACTCTGAACCAAAATATTATTAAGAAAGATAATCCCACATAAAAGGGAACTCTAGATACTTTAGGCCTAAAGAAATTTGTTTAAGAGAAAAAAGTAATGTATATTGAAATCATTAAAATATATTGAATTAAATATTACAAAATGGGTCCTGATACAGCAACCAGAAAAAGCAATGTGAGGATCTCAGAAGTTAACTTGCTCACACAACTGTGAGACTGAGCTTCAAATCCATGTCAGTGTTACAACGCCTTGAATCACAACTCTATAGAGGACTTTACAAAGCGTATATAAAAAATGGTATTGTTATCAGAAATCTAAAACAGAAAAGACAATACCATACATAAAATTTCCTTTACAGGTGGAATCTGATAATTAGTATGGGGAAAGGAAGAATGAGGATTAGGCCATCCATATGGCTGTGAAGTAGAGGAAATGTTGGTAATGAGGGAATCAAGGGGTATCACTAAACCCTCTGTCAAGGAAAGTAGCAAAGTAAAGTAATTAAAGCCCGACTTTGATATCAGATAGGTTGGATTTTAATCTTTGCTCTGTCATCTGCTACCTGTGCAATCTTGAGCAATTTATTTAACCTTTATGAGAATGAATTGAATGTTGTACAGATTAGCTGAGATCATATAAAGTTTCAGGAACATCATAGATACCCAATAATTACTAATTTTTTCACTCCATTCAAACCAGTCCCCTCATCTAAGAGAAGGAGAAGTGGAACATAAGGTAAATTAGACTAAATATACAGGGGAAAAGCTAGAAATCTAGCGAAAAGCACAGAAAGAAGATAGAAAGTCAAAACACTTTGCAGAAGGTGCCTTGATTTTCTATCACATACATTCTGATAAATCAGAATATTTTTATATTTGTATATTTTTATTTCTAATCTAAGATTCCAGGTATTTACATCATTATGACACCTATCAGGTCATTCCCAGCCTCCTCAAAATCCTCTGGAGTGGCTGGGCGTGGTGGCTCAAGCCTGTAATCCCAGCACTTCGGGAGGCCAAGGCGGGCAGATCACCTGAGGTCAGGAGTTCGAGACCAGCCTGGCCAACATGGTGAAACCCCATCTCTACTAAAAACACAAAAATTTGCTGGGTGTGGTGCTGGGTGCTTGTAGTCCCAGCTACTTGGGAGGCTGGGGCAGGAGAATTGCTTGAACCCAGGAGGCGGAGGTTGCAGTGAGCTGAAATCGCACCACTGCACTCCACCCTGGGCGACAAGAGCGAGGCTCTGTCTCAAAAAAATAAAAAAAAATCCTCTGGGGTCCCTCTGAGATCAGGGCCAAACTGAAAAATTTGCTAAAATGATTATCCCAGACCCCATGCCCAGAGGTTCTCATTTAAAATATCCTACTGCATGTTTACAAAAGAGGCTAATATTTTGAGATAACAGGTTTCTCTCCCCATTTCTCACCCCTATTACTTAGTTTTCTTGTTGTTTTTCCCCTATTCAGTCAGAAGCAGCATTACTTTGAGGTACAAAAAGAACAAGAACCTAATTATTACTTTTTAATATACCTTTAAATTCCACAAAGTCTACAGCTTTGAAAGAAGGAAAAATGTTTATTTTGAACAACAAAACCAAGGATTATTCATAAACAATAGGTTCAGGGATGAGCTAGATACGCCCATTCTCCATCTACCCTTAGCCCTGACAAGGAAAAGGAGCCTAACAGAGAGAGAATAGAATTCGGTGTGATTGTAGAATTCCTGACAAGTAAAGATGAAAAAAAAAACAACCTCCAGAGCTTAGGTACAACCTCAGGAAACAAGGGTGGAGTAGAAGTTTGAATCTGAATTGAGAATAATCCTTAATTTCTAGGTTTAACTTAATGTGGGTAGATTAATTTTTCTGTCATCAATTGGGAACAGTGGCTCTAAGCAGAAATTAAATTCAATTACATGACAACTTTATAAAAGTTATACTTTTCACATATTTAAGAAATGGTACTATCTACTATAATTTAAAGGTTTCCTAAGTACTTTCGATACAAGTAGTGTGCAAAACACACTGAGAAGTACTGTGAACTTTAGAGAGTAGTTCTAGGTTCCCTCAGTACAGACCTTAAGCCTTTCTATAAAATAAGAATAATGGTATCTACTTCATACAGTTAAAGTAAAGATTTAATGAAATTATGAGTATTACTTCGTACATAGTAAGTTATCAATAACTATTGTTATTAGCAGGAAAGTATTTCTTATCCCTTCCTGATATTTTCTTCCATATTGGAGAGACCTTAATTAGCACAACTGCTGGCATCTTTTATACAACTTTATCATCTGTCCCAGGAAGTGGAATGACTTATCGATTGGTAGATTTTGGAAAAGTAAACAAGCATTTTGTCAGCTCAGTTTCTTCCTCCTTCCTACTGGGAAACTATTGCTAGTGGCCTTTTACTGGGAGTTTCAGACCGTAAACTCTGTCTCCGGAGGAGTAATTAAATATGATGAAGCTTCTCCTGGTCTAGGATTATCTGTCCTTGGGCAACTCTACTTACCCTGTGTTCAGTTGGCAGGCTTCTTTAGCCCTCACACCACCTAACTTACCTTCTCTAGGCAACAAACCTGCCATTTTGGCTTACAGCTGGCATTTCTTTTTATTATGTATCAGTTTGTTTAAAAATTATGTAGTCAAGAAGACTGTTATTTAGTTAGTTCCTAAGGATTCCCAGCACTTACTTTAGATGGGTAAGTAATATCTTATAATTTACAGAAAAAAATTCTTGGTTTTTATGTACTCTTAGACCAGAAATTTTATGTAAAGAAATATTTGAAAGAGTATAGAAATATATCTGCATAATATTTTCATATTTATGCAAAAGAAGTTTCATTATTGAAAAACGGTAAATATCTGATAATAGGTCATTAGTTTAAATATGGCACATCTATAAAATGGAATACTATGCAGAAATTAAAAATGATATTGTAGACTTCCAATGTTGACCAGATGAAATAATGCAAATCAGATTTACCCTCCCACTTTAAACATGAAAAACATGAATAAATATATGAAATAAATGAAAAAAATACTTTTCAGACATGAGACAGCAGGCCAAACAGGACTGTGATCTCTGAAAGCTGGGAAACAAACAAACTGAACCCTACATTTGCACTAGCTTACAACTTGCAGAAAGTTTACAGGCCACAGTCGAGGAAGAGCCAGAGACCAGTAGCATTGCTGAGCTGAGGAAACAGAGATTGGAATTCATAAGAATTCATGTATTTGAAGGGCACAAATCTTAGGAGTAGTACAAATAGCAAGTATGACTATGAAATCATAGATGATGTTCTATGCATCTAACCTGTCGAAAATAAAAAAGTAATTTCAATTAGCTATGATAAATAAATATTCTATTCTCTTTATTAAAAACAATCCTACAACTTTTTTGCCACAAGAGAGGCAATCAAAGTGTATGCAACAGAGGCTGAGACAGGAGAATCTCTTGAACCTGGGAGGCTGAGGTTGCAGTGAGCCGAGATCCTGCCACTGCACTCCAGGCTGGGTGATAGAGTGAGACTCTGTCTCAAAAAGAAAAACAAAAGTGTGCAACAAAAAAGGACGAAGAAAATATTATAGAGATGCCAGACATTGATTTAAATCTCATATTGCTTATATTTTTCTGGATTTTATAATGTTTGTAATAATTGCCAGATTTTCCATTTATTTAGTTTTTATAATTTACTTTCTCCTTGTAAATAAATATTTACTATTCTGCCTACATTTCTATTCCTAATTTTGAGTGTTTGTTCTTAATGAAGGTCTCCAAAATTCTATAAGCTTCAGGTCCCATAAAACCTGGATGCTCTCTAGACATAAATGTTAAGGTCTACTTAAAGAATGTCTTATTGTGTACCACTGAAATATGAAGCACACTTAGGAGATAATTAAATTTATTAATGCAACAGTCCATGTGCTTCCTTCCAACAGAATAGTTCTGAATTATCAATGAGATCATTGATGGGAAAGCACTCTGAAAAGTATGAAGTGCTGTATCAATGCAAACTATTATCTTTATTATCCTTTTAAATACAACCAGCTGAAGTTCTCAACATTTGTTTGATAATTCTTTAGTGATCTTCCACTAAGTGCATGGCACTTCAGGGGCTGTGGAGGGTATAAAGATGAAATACATCCAATACTTGCCTTCAGGGAGTTCATTGTTTCCAGGATGAAAATACTGTACTGAACACAGAATTAAAAGAGAAACTCTATGTCAGTGAATTTCAAACTTTTTTTATTACAATTCACATTTTAAAGTGGAGACCATGGCCCAATAAAAACATATACATGCACACTTACAAACACACATATTCATATACCCACTAAAATTTCACAAAAATATTACATTTACTATATACTATACTACTTTTCTGTAGTTTTCTATTCTATTTTACTTCAATCTTTAAAATGCTGATCACAACTTTTTAAATAGATTTTATAACCTCCTAATCAATCACAACCTACCATTTGAGAAATACTGTTCTATATGATAATTTTGTCCTGCTGAGTATATGGACTTAAAAATCCATGAACATAAACTCAATGAAAATCTCCATTAGCTCTAATAAAATTTGAAGTCCACTGGGTGAAAAACTAAAGACATTGAAGTCCTACAGACCCCTTTGCCAATTATTCATATATATTTTATTAGATCAGAGACATCAGCTGTCCTTCTATATACATACATACACACATATGTGAGAGCACACACACATATGCTCTCACACGCCTTCTCTCCCTGTATCTATATGTTAAATTTGATTGCTTTTGCACAGTGACAACTGCAGTGAAAGCTCCCTGCAGGGAATCACAGGAGTCTGAGTGAAAGGGTTATTTTAGTGGTTCTTCACTATTCAAGAATTACACTGAGGCACAAGAGCTTTCTGACAGGACTTGGCAAGCTTTGCATTGTAGTCAAGATTGTTTATTCTGTTGGCAGATTTGTCATAAAGGGGTTTGGTTCTTTTCTAAAGTATGTTGTGGAAATATGTATTTATAAGTATTCCATAAAATATTTTATATTTATTTTATAGAATGGATATATAGAAATGCTTTCTTAAGTCCTTATTGGCAACATTTGTACGTGAGCTTTTATGTATGTGCCATTATAATGGTAAACATTTACTTAGAAAATGCATCATGTTGATGGAATAATGCTGAGATCCTACCTCCTCACCACAGAACTTACTTGCATTTAAAATTTACTTCCCATCATCAACTCTAAGTGTGTTCAGAAGATGATTCACAAGAAAAGATACAGTCACAATAAAAAGAAAATGTGGTTTAAAATAAAATATTAATAATTTTGTATTCTAGTTGATAAACAAAATGTTTACGCAATGTATTTCTCTCTTTGCATATGAATGAGCGACGATACCATTGCCCTTCTTTGTATTTTGCTCTTCATCAGAATTCACCAGAAAATTCACTCCCTTTGGCCATTTCAAGCATGGGCAAAACTAGGCTGGAGTAAGGGCTGTGACCCAACAACTTTGGGGCATCCAAGAAACGTCCCTGGTATAACTCCTGGAGTCATCATGCACAATAACTTGTGCTAGTTGCTTATAAACCCTCAGCTGGTTTAGCCGTGCTACAGTGCCATGGAGACTAGCTACAGAAACATTTAGTGAGGTGGTCATCAGGAGGTGAATAGGATGAAGGGATAAGGAGGTGGGGGAAATTAGAAATATATGATAACCTGTTGTTGATTGAACAATAATTTTCTTGCTGTTAAATTAGTAATACTGCACTTCCCAGTCTCCAAAATCTCTATTTTTTCAGTTCATCGGCCAAGTTCATTTTTGCTGTAGCCCACTGTTTCCATAAGTTCTGTTTTTCTGTGTCCTAGTCTTTCCGACATGACTCTTTCAGATCTTCTAAGTCTGCTAAATGCTGTTTCTTCTAATTGAAATGTTTTCCCTTACTCTCCAAAACAAAAGGCTCCTATTTATCTCTCAAGATCAAGCTTAGATATGTGTCCCTCTGTGAAGCCTCTTCTGACCAAGTCCAGTAGAACGAATCACTCTTTTTCTCATACCATGATTCAAATGAGTCTTGCATAGTATTTCGGTCTTTTCTTCCTCTTCTACTAGATTACAAGCTTCTTGAGAGTTGAATCTGTGTTATGTTTTTATTCTATCCTCAGTGCCTCCTATAGAAGCTGGTTCTAGGGTACTGAATTGATTTGTTGATTAATTAATCTATTGATTATTGCGTCTGTCTTGGGTTCTCTGCTGTTCTTGAGACCCCTACTTTATTCTGAAGCACTTTTTTCTATTCTTTCTGAATTTTCAAAAATGTATTTATTAGTTCATGAGAGCAGCTTGTACCTATTTTGAAGTCTGTCTTCTTTACCAAAAATTTAAGCTGTATCATGACCCAGTCTCACTTGAGAATTGTTACCATCAATGGTGGATGATACCACTCTCTGGAGTATGTCTGTATTACTTTGTTTCTTTCTAATGATCAGAGATAAGCTATTTTGAAAGCTTTTCTCGCAACTATTACTTTTTTTTCTTACTGAAAGATTTTGCAATTAGAACAGATAATCTAAAACGACATGGGTTTATAAATAAAATCAGGACAGCAATTTGTTACTGTTTCTGCTGAATTTGAGAATGCTTTCCCCTCTAATCCAGCCATGTTCTCTGTCTGAAGATGAAAAATTTTAATTGTCAATAGTCCCTAAGTTGTCATCATGATTTCTCAGTAATTGCTAATTCTCTGCAGGTTTTTTCCTATCTACTATACCTGGGAGAAAAGTATTCTTCACTTATTATTACTTATTATTTTTTCCAGGCAGCATTTGGAAGTATTCCACCTGTGATGAAACTCAATTGTAACTTCCTTTTGTCTTGCCTAGAATTCAGAGACACGATTTTTTCCTATTTTATGTGTGGATTTAAAGGTATCAAAAGACTAATACGATATAATTTCAAAACAAAAGGAGCTTTTATAAAGGAATTTCATTTATTTATTTTTTCAATTAAGTGACAGAACATTACATAAAAGAGATCAGCAAACTTAGGCCACCTTGTTTAAGAAAAATAGTTGGATTTATCAGTCTTATTGTACCTATGGGAAGGAAATTATTATTACATGATAGCATTCCAGAGATCTCAGGCCCCATTTGGGGATTTTTTCATAAGCTCCCCTATAACATAGCTCCATCTACTTTTCCTATATAAAGGTCAAACCATAGAATCACTCCCTCCAAACAATCATCACCTATAGGTAAGAAGAGGTTTTATCCCCCAACCCCAGTTACTGACAATGAGACTACAGGGCAGGCAACTTTAATAGCTGTTCTAATGCAAGTTTCATTACTGTATGTGTGTATATATATATAGATATATAGATATATATATTTCTTTTTTTTTTTCTGAGGCAGAGTTTCGCTCTGTTGACCGGGCTGGAGTGCAGTAGTGCGATCTTGGCTCACTGCAGCCTCCACCTCCCAGGTTCAAGCGATTCTCCTGCCTAAGCCTCTCAAGTAGCTGGGATTACAGGCATGAGCCACCACACCCAGCTAATTTTTGCATTTTTAGTAGAGACAGGGTTTCACCATGTTGGCTAGGCTGGTCTCAAACTCCTGACCTCAGGTGATCCACTCACCTCGGCCTCCCAAAGTGCTGGGATTACAGGCATGAACCACTGCACCCAGCCTCATCACCTTATATTAGAGTTTCCTGATTCTTGATCTTATTTTCCTCTTTAGAACAACTCTTAGTACCCCTTTCATAAGTATTCAGTTCCTCCTCCCAACATTCTGTTATTGTCCTTAACATCTGTTTATAATTATATCTTGGATCTCAGACTAAACCTGGAAATAATTTGCTGACCTTGCCAACTATATTCCTACTCCTCTTCCCAGTCCTTCAAATTACTATTGTTGCTGTCACAGAGAATTATTAGGTTGAATATTAGATGGAGAATATTTCAACAATCTTAGCAAGAAATAGCTGGACTGTGGCACTGGCAGTGGGCATAAAAAGTTCACATTTAAGAACCATTTCAGAGTTATAATCAAATAATTTGATAATGGGGTGATGAAAAAGGAAGAAGCTGGTAAGCAGAAATGGAAATCAGACTGCTCTTCTAGTTAATAGCTACTGCAGAAACTTGAAAGGAAAATGTGAGCATGTGTGTATGTGATACCGTGGGAATCCATCAAAACAGCTAAGGATGACTAAATAGTTTGTCTTACATTAGATCATTTTTGACCTATATAGTTTCATTTGTTTCAACCTAAAAGAACTAAACCCAGAAGGAGTCATTCTTATCATTGACCATCTCGTTGGTACATTCACAATTTTCCGTCTCCAATATTCTTTCTACATTTTTGTGCGTACTGAAAAACAGTGGTGAGTAGTACGAGCCTCCTTAGATCTCTAAACTACCAGTAAATCTACAGATGCTTTCTTTTTAATAATAAAAATGCTAGATAAGTGCACTTTCACAAAGATTATAGCATATTATCCTCACAGTAATATCCCCAGGGAAGATATTATCCTCATCATACATATGGAAACAAGCTCAAAGAGGTTAAACGGCTTGTCTGATGACAAGTGGAACATAATGACCTCTAAGTACTCTCGCTGTTCTTTCCACTTTGTGTCTACTGCCCATCTATGAAACAGAAAGGAGGAGGTTATTTTCCATCAGCTATGTGCAGTTAGCAGAGAAAACAAAACAAACAAGGCTGACTTTTATTTCTTACATAATGATTATCTCAAAATTGTGATTTTTTTTACATGGGCTTGAATGCTTGTAGCAGCTTAAAAGTATTAAAATTCTCATTGTGTACCTTTTCAAAAGTAATTATATCCATAGACTTCCTCTTACATTACATCCTATGGAACTTCAGTGTGGGGAAGACCACTGGACACCCTCACAGTAAAGAAACTTCTCCTGTTCTTCTGCCAAAATTTGCCTTTCCTGGTGTTATCTGCTTTTGCCTCGTGACTGCCTGGTGTCTAGAGAACATACCCAGTGCATTTTCTTTGTTTCACAGAAGATGCCTGCAGAAGACTTTGGATTTTAATTTGAAAAATAAATAAATGCCCTTGAAAAAGGATGAATGTATTCCCCTAGGCCTCTTTCATTAATATGAGCTTCCTAAAATATAGAGTTCAGTACTGAGATTGAAGGTTAGAGTCAGAAGACCATACAGACTTGGAGAGGCCTTAAAAAATAAGAGAGAAAAATGTGGTTTATTAGTTATACTAGTTACAGAATGAACAGCATATTGTATGTGCTGTGTTAGAGGTATGTTATGAATAACAAAAGCCCTGGAGCATTTACATATTTGTTTTCAGCAATCCTGGCAGTTGGATTTCACCATTCTATGCCTCTTTGCCAGAATCACTAAACACTGGTACATATGGCATCTGAAGTACCATATGCCATAGAAAATGTTAGCTGATGCCTATACTTCTATATTATATTTTTATTTCAGATTTTTGCAGTTTGAACAAAGAATAGTAGAAAAAACAAAATATTGGACAAGCAGTAAACAGTAAAGTGAAAAAAATGCCTTCAGAGAAAGCAAATAAAGGAAATGAATCCACCATGAGTTAACATGGCTATATGGTAATGAGTCAAATATGGGAAGTAATTGTTTTGCATGAACGAATTTCCATAGCCTTTCATTCTATTATTTTGGAGCTAAAGGCTTCAGCATGAAGAGTGAAGGCTGACATATTATTTTTACCTTATTCTTTCTGACATTTCTTGCTAGAATCAGAGTCTTCATTTGATTGAAGTTAATTAGCATGAAGGCTATAGTCAGCAACGTATAATATCCTAGTTAAAACAGAAAAATTCAAATATAAGAAATTATTTTGCAATGTTTATTCAGGTTATTAACTGGGATTTTCAGTTAATACCTAGGGTTTTTGTTTTTGTTCTTAAACACAGCAAAACTATAACATTAAAATCAATAATAATTGAATAGCTAGATTTCTCAAATCAAGTAAAAATTTCATGGCCAACCTTTTATCAATAAGAAAATTATCAAAATAGCTAGATAGCTGGATATGTAACGGGTAAGTGATGGCCCACTGGGAATGACTTGATAAATATATTAATTCCAGAAAAAAATGCTCATTCACAATTTTCCAAACATTGTTATAATAGCCTCAAAAACTAGAGGCAAACTTCTTAATCTGAATTTGGATGATGGTGTGGAATAGCCAAGTGATCCAAAATTGTGGAAACTGATGAGATGTCAAGATAAATGACTCAGTGTTGGAATTAATTTAATGAAATAGGAATGAGGGAGAAAACATGTTAGCATAAAGTGTAAATGTTGTAATATTTCAGCTTAAAATCATCTAGCAATATTAATAGTTTTAAAGTACATTTGTGTGGTGTCTTATAGCTTAAAAAGCATGTTCACATTCTTTCTCATGTAAAATAAACAATGATGCAAGTTAGATCCTAATGCTTTCCTATTTCACAGATAAGAAAACCAGCTCAGAAAAGTTGCCTTCTTGTCCTTATGTCCTAACTACCTACTGAAATTACCTCCCATTGTAGAAGTAATCCTGCTACAAATTGGAAGATTAAAAACAACATACCTTTTCGGTAGAATCCTATATTGCCCAATGAGACCCAAAATTGAATGTGACGTAGAATCTTATGCTTTCTTAAGAGTTGCTCTTCATGGGGGCTATTAAGAAGTCTGTGTAAACTTAGGGCTGTATTTTCTGTCGCTATCATTTCAACAACAAGAATCCCAGGCTCCCAAACGTACACAAAGAAACCAAATGTACATGAGGGTTCTTCTATAATACCAGTGTGATCCTCACTTAAAAGAGCTCTAAATCTAAAAATGTAACAAAGTATATGTATTTGTTTCCTAGGGCTGCCATAACAAGTTACCACAAACGGTGGTTGAAAACAACCAAAATGAGTTATCTCATAGTTCTGGACACCAGAAGTCCAAAATCAAGGTGTCACTCTCTTTGAAGGCTTTAGGGGGAAATTCTTCCTTGCCTCTTCCCTGATGGCTCTAGGTTATTTCCTGGCTTGTGGCTGCATAACTCCCATCTCTGCCTTTGTCTTCTTATGATCTTCTCATCTTCCTATGTGTTTCTGTCCTGTGTTTCTCTTAAAAGGATGTCATTGGATTTAGAACTCATTTACATAATCCAGGTTGATCTCATATTGAGATGCTTAACTGCACCAACAAAGACCCTTTTTCCAAATAAAATCACATTGTCAGGTTCTGGGGATAAGGATATAGACATATCTTCTGAGAGTGGCATCATTCAACCTCCTACAGTCCACCCTCTGGCCCCCCAAAATTCACACCTGTCACACATATAAAATATACTCATACCACTCATATTCTCCAAAGTCCCAACCATTACATCATCCATTCTAAGTACAAAGTCCCATCTAAATATCATCAGCTCAAAAGTCCCAATCTCATCAACTAAATCAGGTACAAATTAGTCTCTGAGTGTATTAGTTTGTTCTCATACTGCTATAAAGAACTACCTGATACTGGATAATTTATTAAGAAACGAGGTTTAATTGACTCACAGTTCCAGAGACCGTACAAGAGATATGGATGGGGATACCTCAAGTAACTTATAATCATGGTGTAAGGGTGAAGTGGAAGCAAGCACCTTCTTCACATGGCAGACCAGAAGGACGACAGAGAGCAGAGGGGAAAGTGCTACACATTTTTAAACAACCAGATCTCATGAAAAGTGTATCACAAGATAGCACTGGGGAGATGGTGCTAAACCATTAGAAACCACCCCCATGATCTAATCACCTCCCACCACTCCTGACTGCCAACAAGATCACAATTCAACATGAGATTTGGATGGGAACATAAAGCCAAACCATGTCACTAGGTATGATCCCTTCTGGGAAAAAAACTTTTCTCTTTCTGTGGACATGTAAAACAAGAAAACAAATTATCCGAATCCAAAATACAATGGTGAGACGGGCACAGACATTAAATATAGATAGTATAAACTTTCTCATTCCAAAAGGGATAAATTGGAAGAGATAAAGAGCCACCATTCCAATTCAGTTTGAAACAGGACGCTTTTGTTAGGTTTCAAGGCCCGTAGTAATGCTCTGTGCCTTGATGCTGTGCCATCTGAAATTGTGGCAGTTCCTCAGGCCTCTGTTCCACATGCACGGTCTCCTCTAAAGGAATAATAAAGAGAGTTATTATTCCTTCTGCTTAAGTGGGAGCACATGTTTGCAGTTGCAGTTTCCTGCCAGTGTAGTTCTGGAAGCTCAATATCTTTCTCTCATGTTGTCCTTTCTCTATTCCTTTCAGTCCAAGCTAGGAGTGTTCCTGCTGATATGACATTCTCAATAAATTTGTGGATCTCCTGTGTATGTCACAAGGGTCTATGGCATTAGACAAGAGAGTCCTCCATAGATCTTTCCTGGATAACCCCATCTCTATCCCTGGCTTCCACTGAGATGGCTGAGTGGATCCATTAATCACACACCTAAGTGCATCAATAAAAGTTTATCCAACCATTTCCTTGGCGTCTTCTACATTGCACACTTTCCTGACAGTGACTTTCCTCATTTTAGCAGGCTTTACAATCTGGATAGACCAATAACCTCCTGATTTATCAAGTGCAAATTCCTTTTTGCTTAACTTTCTTACTTTATTTCTTTCCTACTGCTTTTTACTAAGCAGGAAAAAAAATAGGCCGCACCTTCAATGCTTTATTTGGAAATCATTTTAGCTACCCATCAAATTTTATTGTTTCTAATCTCTGTTTTCTCCTCAACTACAGAAGACAATACAGCCAAGTTTTCTGCCACTATATAACAATTCCTCAGTTATGTATAAAGTGTTTTCAATCTCGATAACATGTTCCTCATTTCCTGACTCCTTAACAGAATTGCCTGTAACATTCCGATTTCTACCCACAGTCTCTTCAAGGCAATCTAGGGTGTTTTGTTTTGTTTTTTATTATGTACCCTAATTTCCTCCAGCCTCTACCCATTAACCAATTGTTATATAATCACACTAATTATGACCTCTGAATATTGGCGCCTAGGTTGTTTACTTCTTCACAGCAGGCAAGGACCCATTAATTTATAAGCATAATAGGGCCAAACTCAAATTTTCGTATATCTCATTGTTTTAAATATTCCACAAATAAGCATATTTTAGATGTTTAGAGCCTGTTTGCTTTGCATGCCTCATGGAAGTGCACACAGCATCTGCTAGCCATAGGATAAACTCCAAATCTGTAAAGATCCCAAACTGCTGCTATGCTCTGGAACCCTCTCACCTAGAGAATCTCTTGTGGGCTACTTAGAGTGACATCATGTAGACACATAAGTTCTGTCTCCTAAGCCCTCTCCCACAGAAGTACTCTGTCTTCTTTCCCTTCAGAGTGGTGGCCCCCACACCATAGCCTCTGGACAGTCTCATGCAGTGAGAGACTTCTAATATACAAATCTGTCAAGGCATTGTCCTGATAAAGCCTGCATGTGGTACTGCCACCCCATGCCCATATCTTTTATCACCCCATAAATATCTTGAATTTCCCACAAGTGGCAATGAGAATAGGATATCCACTTCCATATTTTTAGACATTTGTTGCCACCTTCCAGTACTACAGTGTTTTGTTTAGAATGTTGCTTTAAATAAAAACAACAGTGTGTAACTTCTTCAGATTATCTTCTTTCACTCAGCTTAATTCTTTTGAGATGCATCCAAGAATTGTATACGAGACCAGTTTCTTTCTTTTTCTTGCTGAGTAGAAAGTATTCCATTATATGTATATACCGAAGTGGTTTATCAATTCATCCACTGAGGATGTTATGCTGGTTTTCAGTTTTTAGAAATTACAAATACAGCTGCTGTGAATGTTAGTTAATAAGATTTTGTGAATATGTTTCATTTCTCTAGGGTAAATACCAAAAATATGGGATTGCTTGGTTATGTAAGTGTATGTTTAACTTTTTTTTAAATTGCTAACCTATTCCAGACTTCCTGAACCATGATCTAATCACCTCCCACCAGTCCTGACCTCCAACAGTCAGGATCACAATTCAACATGAGATTTGGGTGGGAACACAGAACCAAACCATATCACTAGGTATGATCCATTCTGGGAAAAAATAGTTGTCTTTCTATGGACATGTAAAACAAGAAAGCAAGTTATCTGAATCCAAAACACAATGGTGGGACAGGCACAGACATTAAATATAGACAGTATAAACTTTTTCATTCCAAAAGGGAAAAATTGGAAGGGATAAAGAGTCACCAGTTCCAATTAATTTTGAAGTAGGGGACAATTTTGTTCAGTTTCAAGGCCTGTGTAACTCCCATAAAGAATGTATGAGAGTTAAAATTTCTCTGCATCCTCATCAGCAATAGGTATTTTCAATATTCTTAAATTTAACTATTCAATATTGAAAATTATGTGGTTTCAATTTTCATATCTACAATGATGAAAAATAGTAGATATCCTTTTGTGTGGTTATTTGTATCCATATATCCTCACTGTTGAGTATCTGTTCAAATCATTTACCTATATTTTAATTGAGCTTTTTATTTTCTTACTGTTGAATTTTGAGGGTTCTTTTTCTATTTTGGACAGAAGTCCTTTGTTGGATATATACGTTGAAAATATTTTATCCTAGTACATAGCTTATCTTTTCATTTTCTTAACAGTGTCCTTCCGAGAGCAAAAAGTTTTAAATTTTTATTAAAATCCAATTTATCTTTTTTATAAATGAATAACACTTATGATATCATGTCTGATAACTCTTTGATATCTTGCCTAACCCCAATTCATGTGTTCTTCTAAAAGCTTTATAGTTTTAGGTTTTACATTTAGATCTATTATCTACTTTGCATTAATAGTGATACAGCCTTTCCGCGCTACCTACAGAAGGGTCCATACAGCTTTGTTGTGAATTCCCGTCGTAACTTAAAGGGAAACTTTCACAATGTCTGGAGCCCTTGATGTCCTGCAAATGAAGGAGGATGTCCTTAAATTCCTTGCAGCAGGAACCCACTTACGTGGCGCCAATCTTGACTTCCAAATGGAACAGTACATCTATAAAAGGAAAAGTGATGTGATCTACATCATAAATCTGAAGAGGACCTGGGAGAAGCTTCTGCTGGCAGCTCGTGCCATTGTTGCCATTGAAAACCCTGCTGATGTCAGTGTTATATCCTCCAGGAATACTGGCTAGAGGGCCAAGCTGACGTTTGCTGCTGCCACTGGAGCCACTCCAATTGCTGGCCGCTTCACTCCTGAAACCTTCACTAACCAGATACAGGCAGCCTTCCGGGAGCCATGACTTCCTGTGGTTACTGACCCCAGGACTGACCACCAGCCTCTCACGGAGACATCTTATCTTAACCTACCTACCATTGCTCTGTGTAACACAGATACTCCTCTGCGCTATGTGGACATTGCCATTCCATGCAACAACAAGGGAGCTGACTCAGTGGGTTTGATGTGACGGATACTGGTCCGGGAAGTTCTGCCTATGCGTGGCACCATTTCCCATACACACCCATGGGAGGTCATGCCTGATCTCTACTTCTACAGAGATTCTGTAGATTGAAAAAGAAGAGCAGGCTGCTGCTGAAAACGCTGTGACTAAGGAGGATTTTCAAGGTGAATGGACTGCTCCAGCTCCTGAGTTCACTGCTACTCAGTCTGAGGTTGCAGACTGGTCTAAAGATGTGCAGGTGCACTCTGTGCCTATTCAGCAGTTCCCTACTGAAGACTGGAGCGCTTGGCCTGCCACAAAAGACTGGTCTGCAGCTCCCACCACTCAGGCCACTGAATGCGTAGGAGCAACCACTGAATGGTCTTAAGCTGTTCTTGCACAGGCTCTTAAGCAACATGGAAATAACGTTGACGAAAAATAAATATCAGTTTCTAAAAACAAACAAAAAAAAAGATATAGGTGTAAAGTTTAATTTTTCCTTTTGTTATGTTTTGTTTGCATGTGGGTGTTCAATTGTTCCAACACCATTTATTTTTTCAAAGAAACCAAACCTGTTCTTTCTCTATTTACTTATTTTGCACCTTTGCCAAAAATCAAATAGTTATACCTATATGGATTTACTTCTTGATTGTTTATCCTGTTCCAAGACTACTCTAGACTGATGTATGAGTCTGTTTCTTTGCTAATACCACATTTTCTTGATTATTGTAGTTTTGTAGTATATCTAAAAGTCAGGTGCTATGAATTCTCTAATTTTTAAGACTGCTTTAGTCATTTTAATTCATTTGGCCCTCTATATAAATTTTAGAATCAGCTTGTCTACGTCTACGAAGAAAACCCACAAAAATTTCATTAGAATTTTGCATAAAATTATAATTTAGCCAGAATTAACAACCTTCCTCTGTTTAATATTCTAATCCGTGAGCAAGCCATATCTTTCTATTATTCAGATTTTCTTTGATTTCCTTCATCAGCATTTTGTAGTTTTCAGCACACAGATATTGCAGTTTGGTTAGGTTTGTTACTATGTATTTCTTCTCTGTAGAGAGTTTTGTAATTTTTAAAAAAATTTTTGTTATCAAATTGTTCATTGCTAGCGTGCATAATAATGATTGTTTTGTGTTTTGACCTTGTAAACAACAAGGTCTGTGTTCTGTGTTCTGTAACCCTGCTTGACTTACATATTTATCCTTGGATTTAAAAAATAAATTTCTGGGAATTTTTATGTTGGAAATCATGTCATATGAAAATAAGGACAGTTTATTTCTTCCTTCTCACCTCATACATCTTTTATTTTATTGTTTTTCTTGATTTATTGCAATGGCTAGGTTTTCCAGGATGATGTTCAGTAATTTTGGTGAGAATGAACATTCTTGCCTTTTTTAAGAGGAAAGCTTTTTTAGGAGAGAAGCTTTCATTCTATTACCAGGAAATAAAATGTTAGAATAGATTATTGTAGAAATTCTTTATCAGGTTGAAGAAGTCACCCTCTATTCCTAGATTGCTGAAATTCTATTATTTTTTTCTTTTTAACGCAGTCTTACTCTGTCACCCAGGCTGGAGTGCAGTGGCATGATCTCTGCTCACTGCAACCTCCACCTCCTGGGTTCAAGCGATTCTCCTGCCTCAGCATCCTGAGTAGCTGGGACTACAGGTGTGCACCACCACGCCCAGCTAATTTTTGTTTTTTTAGTAGAGATGGGGTTTCACCATGTTAGCCAGGATGGTCTCTATCTCTTGACCTCATGATCTGCCTGCCTCGGCCTCCCAAAGTGCTGGGATTACAGACATGAGCCACTGTGCCCAGCCTGAAATTCTTTATCAAGAATGGGATACTGAACATATGCAGAATAATAAACTTAGACCCTTATATCACCCCATATACATACATCACCTGAAATTACAAAACTACTATAATAAAATATAGAGGAAAAAGCTTCTTAACATTGGTCTTCGCAAAGATTTCTTGAATATGACCCCAAAAGCACTGACAATAAAAGCAAAAATAAACTGGATTTCATCAAACTAAAAAGGTTCTGTACAGCCAAGAAAACAACTAACAGAGTGAAGAGACAACCTACGAAATAAGAGAAGATACGTGCAAACCATACACCTAATGAGAGGATAATATCCAAAATATGTAAGGAAGCCAAACAACTCAATAACAAGAAAACAGCATGATTTTTAAATGGGCAAAGGACCCAAATGAACATTTCTCAAAAGACATTGAAAGGGCTAACAGGTTTATGAAACTAATCATCAGGAAAATGCAAATCAAAGTCACAATGAAATATCACTTCACATCTATTATAATGCCTTTTATGTTTAAAAAAAGATAGAAGATGTTGGTGAAGATGCAGAGAAAAAGGAATTCTTGCACATTGCTGGTGAGAATGTAAATTAGTATAGCAATTATGGAAAACAATATGGAGGTTTTTCAAAAAATTAAAAATAGAACTACCATATGAACCAGCAATTCCACTTCTGGGTACATATCCAAATGAAATTAAATCAGTATGTGGAAGAGATATCTGCACTCCTGTGTTTATTGCAGCATTATTCACAATAGCCAAGATATTTAATAAACTTAAGTGTCCATCAACAGATGAACAAATAAAATGTGGTACATATGCACAATGGAATACTATTCAGCCTTAAAAAAAGAAGAAAATTCTGTGATTTGTAACAACATGAATGGAACTTGAGGACATTATTCTAAGTAAAATAAGTCCAGCACAGAAAGACAAATACTGCATGATCTCACTTATATGCAGAATCTTTAAAAGTTGAATTAAAAGATGTAGAGAGTAGAATGGCAGTTACTAGGGGCTGGCTGGGGACAAAGAGAGTATGGGAAGATGCTGGTCACAAGGTTTAAAGTTTCAGTTAGACAGCAGAAATAAGTTCTGAAGATCTATTGTATAGCATGGTAACTATAGTTAATAATAATGTACTGTGTACTTGAGAATTGCTAAGAGAGCAGATTTTAAATTTTCTCACCACAAAAAAAAGTATTTGAGGTGATGTACATGCTAATTATCTTGATTCAATTATTCCAAATGTATACATATATCAAAGCATTATGTTGCACTGCACATATGTACACAATACAACTTTTTAAAAATATAAGCCAGTGTGGTAGGTCACGCCTATAATCCAAGTACTTTGGGAGGCTGAAGCAAGAGGATGGCTTGAGCAAAGCTGTTCAAGACCAGATCTGGCAACATAGTGAGACCCTGTCACTACAAAAAATAAATAAAAAATTATCCAGGCATGGTGGCACACACTTGTAGTCTCACCTACTCAGGAGGCTGATGTGGGAGGATCACTTGAGCCTGGGAGGTAGAGGTTGCAGCGCGCTGTAGTCACATCACTGCACTCCAGCCTGGGTGACAGAGCGAGACTGTCTCAAAAAATTTGTATATCTGTATCTATATCAGATATACATCAAATATTGTCAAATGCCAATTCAGGATCAATTGATAAAATGTGGGTTTTTCTTCTTAGATTGTCAATATGATGAGTTACACAGATTACTTTTCAATTATTGAACAAACCTTGCATTATTTGAGTAAATTGCATTTTTCCTTAGTGCTGGTTTCCTGTTTACCTTTTATATAATGCTGTGTTCAATTTCCTGATATTTTACCAGGGACTGTGTCTATGTTCATGAGGAATATATTGGTCTTTGGAATTTTTTTTCCTGTATCACCTTTGTTTGAATTTTATTCGTGGTTTCATAAAATAAATTATGAAATATCTCCTTTATTCCATTTTCTGGAAGAAAGTATGTAGCATTAGTGTTATATCTCCTTTAAATATTTAGTAGAATTTAACTAGCATTAGTGTTATATCTCCTTTAAACATTTAGTGGAATTTAACAGTTAAGACACCTAAGCATAAAGATTTCTTTTTCAGAAAGCTTTTTTGGTTAACTTTGAATTCGAGGTTTTAATAGCTGTAGGACCATTCATATTATCTATATCATCTTGGGTAAGTATTGGTAATTTGATGTATTTCAAGTAATTTGAATTTCACATAATTTGTCAGATTTGTTGCATTTATCAATAGTATTAACTTAGTATCCTCTTAGAGCCTGCAAAGTCAGTCATGGTGTCTCTTCTTTTATTCCTGATACTGGAAATTTGTGTCTTGTCTCTTTTTTCTTTGTAAATCTTGCTAGAGCTTTATAAATTGTATCAATCTTTTAAGGGTATCAGCTTGTGTTTTCCTTGATTATTGTGTTTCTGCTTTTTATTCATTTGATTTATGTTGTTATTTTTACTATTTCTTTCTGTTTCTTTTTTTTCTTGTTTCTAGTTTAAGGTGGGAGCTTAGATTTTTTTTTTTTAGAATGTTTTTTCCCCCTCTCTTTCTTTTCTTTCCTTTCCTTTCCTTCCTTCTTTCCTCCCTCCCTCCCTCCCTTCCTTCCTTCCCCTCTTTCTTTTTCCTTTCTTCCTTCCTTCCTTCCTTCCTTCCTTCCTTCCTTCCTTCCTTCTTTCTTTCTTTCTTTCTTTCCTTCAAGTCTCACTTTGTCACCCAGGCTGGAGTGCAGCACAAACATAGCTCACTGCACCCTCCATCTCCCAAGCAATACTCCAGCTTTGGCCCCCAAGTAGCTGAGAAAACAGGCGCACATAACTATGCCCAGCTAATTTTGTGTTTTTCTTGAGATGGAGTTTAGTCATGTTGCCAAGACTGATCTCAAACTTCTGAGCTCTAGCGATCTGCCCAGTGTGGCCTCCCAAAGTGCTGGGATTATAGGCATGAGCCACTGCACCTGATCTCTTCTTTTCTGATAGATGTATCTTGTTGTTATAAATTTTAATCCAAACAGTGACTTAGTTGCATCAAAAAAAAATTTATGTATTTTCATTTTTCTTCATTTCAAAATATTTTCTAATTTCTCTCGAGATTTCTGCTTTGATACATGGGTTATTTCAATACGTGTTATTTAACTTCCAAGGGTCTAGAAATTTTCCTGTTAATTTTCTGATATTTGTTTCTTGTTTAATATCCACTGTGGTCAGAGAACATCTTCATATATTCCAAATATTTTAAATTTGTTAATTTTTTTTTATGTTCCAGGACACGTCTTATCTTGGTAAAGATTCCAATTGCATGTGGGAAAAAATGTATATTTTGCTGTTGTTTGGGGGAGTGTTCTATAAATGCCAATTAGATCCAGTTGTTCGATAGTGATACTTTTTTCTTCTATATCCTGCTTGATTTTTTGGTCTACTAGTTATTCTGTTACTGAGAAAATAGTATTGGAGTCTTCAATTATAATTGTATATTAGTCTATTTACCTTTTAACTTCCATTCCTTTTTGTTTTGTGTAACTTAATTACTATTACTAGGTGCATACAGATTGAAGATGGTTTTATCTTATTGATAATTTGACTCCTTTAACATTATATACTGACCCTTTTATTCCTGGTAGTTTTTTGGCTATAAAGTCTATATCAGTAATCAATATAGCCACTGCAGATATCTATTGATTAATGTTTTCAGGTGTTCATTTTTATCATTCTACTATTGACCTAATATTTTTTGATCAAATATATTTGAACACACTATTTTGTAGACAGCATAAATTTGTTTTGTGGTGGTTTTTTTTCCCTGTCTTTTCCATTGGTGTGTTTAGAACATTTTCATTTAATACAATTATTGAAAGTTTGCATTTAGAGCTACCATTTTATTATTTGTTTTTGTTCAGTGTATCTCATTTCTGTTCTCCTGTTTTCCCTTTCCTATTTTAGGTTAAGCATTTTTTAGTATTCTGGATTATATGGTAACTTTGTGTTTAACTTTTTGAGAAATTACCTACCATATCTTTGCCAACACTTATTATTATTTTTTTCTTACAACCATTCTAGTGTTGTGAAGTGGTAGCTAGTGATTTAGGTTTATCCATTGTTTTTTATTATATATTTTGTATAGCTTTTAAGCAATTGCACTAGGGCTTATAAGATAGCATGCTAGTTTTGCACAGTCTACGTAGAATAAGTATTTCACTACTTTAGGTAGACTATAGATACATTACCACCATATGTGTCTTTTTACCCTCCCTCCACATTAAAACCCCATCACAAAATATTATCTCACCTGCAATGTGTGCAGTTGTGATAAAATATACGTGCATAAAATTTACCATTTTAACACTTTTCCTTAAGTGTACAGCTCAGTGGCATTAACTACATTCACACTGTTGTGCAACCTTCACCACTATCCATCTCCAGAACTTTTTCGTTGTTTCAAACAGAAACTCTGTACCCACTAAATCATAACTCTCCTTTCCTCCTCACCCCACTGTTCTACTTTTGGCCTCTATGAATTTTACTAATCTAAATACTTCATACAAGTAGAATTATAAAATATTTGTCAGTTTGTACCTAGCTTATTTTCCTTAGTATAATGTTTTCAAGGTTCATTCTTGTTGTAGTGTGTGGCGGTATATCATTAGGTTTTATGGGTAAATATTATTCCATTGTATACATATAAGATATTCTGTTTATTCATTCATCAGTTGATGGATATTTGGGTTGTTTCCACTTTTTAGTTATGAATAGTGATCCTATGAGCATGGGCATACAAGTTTTTGTGCGAACATATCTTTTAAACTCCCTTGAATATGTTATCAAAGGATAGAATTTCTGGATCATATGATAACTTAACCTTCTGAAGAACTGTCACATCCTTGGCAACACTTGTTATTATCTGTCCTTTTTATTATAACCAATCTAGTATGTGTGAAATGATACCTCATTGTTGTTTTGATTTAAATTTCCCTCATTACTAATAATATTGAGCATCTTTTCAAGTGCCTATTAGTGATTTTTAAATCTTCTTTAGAGAAATGTCTATTTAAATCCTTTGCTCTTTCTTTAATTGCATCACTTTTTTATTATTGAGTAGCAAGGGCTCTTTCTATACTGTAGCTGTAAGACTCTTATCAAATATATGATTTGCAAGTTCTCAATGTTTTTGTTGCTTTTAATTTGAATATCATATTATAGAATTCTTTAGAAAATCCAAAATCATGAAGATTTTACCTCTATGTTTTCTTCTAAGAACATTCAGTTTTTAGGACTTCGATCCATTTTGAGTTAATTTTTGTGTATGGTATGAGGTAAGGGTTTAGCTTCATTCTTTTGCCTGTGGCTATCCAATTGTCCCAGCACAATTTGTGGGGATTATTCTTTCCCCATTAATGTTTTAGGACCCTGTGCACAAAATGAGTTGGCCATGGAGATATGGGTTTAGTTCTAGATTCTCAATTCTGTGCATTGTGTTATGGACTGAATTGTGTTTCCTGCCCCCCATATACATGTATTGAAGCCCTAACCCATCTGTATTTGGAGATACAGCCTTTAAGAAGGTAATGAAGATTAAATGAGGTCATAAAAGTAGGACCTGAACCCAATAGGACGGGTATCCTTAGAACAAGAGAAAGAAACACCACAAGTGCATGCTCACATAGGAGAAGACAGTGAAAAGGCAGCCATCTGCAACTCAGGAAGAAAGTTCATACCAGAAACCATTCCTGATGACACCTTGATCTTGGACTTTCAGCCTCAAGACCTGTGAGAGAATACATTTCTGTTGCTTAAGCCATCCAGTCTGTGATATTCTGCTATGGCACCTAAGCAAATAAATAAAAATGTTTGTCTTGTGCCAGTATCACTCTGTTATTATTACAATTGCTTTGTAGTAGGTTTTGAAACCAAGACATATAAGCTCTCCTTATTTATTATTTTCAGGTTTGTTTTGGTATTCTGAGTTCCTTGCAATTTCGCATTAAGTTTAGAGTCAGCCATCAATGTCAGCAAAGTCAGCTGGGTTTCCAATAAAAATTATGTTGAATCTGTAGATCAACATATTGCCATTTTAACAATATTAAGTCTTACTATCCATGACCATGGTATGTTTTTTCACTTATTTAATCTTCTGTAATTTCTTTTAACAATATTTTGTAGTATTCAGGGTATAAATTTTGCGTTTATTTTGTTAAATTTGCTCCTGTGGGTATTTTATTCTTTCTGATGCTAATATGAATGAAATTGTTTACTTAACTTATTTTCATATTGTTTATTGTAAGTGTATAGACATACAAATTATTCTTGCAGAGTGATTTTGTATCCTGCAAAACTGTTTAACTTAGTTATTAGTATAGCCACGCCAGCTTTCTTGTGGTTGTTGTTTGCTTGAATTTTTTTTTTTTTTTTTAGATAGGATCTCACTCAGTCACACAGTTTGGAGTGCAGTGGCACCATCTCAACTCACTGCAACCTCCACCTCCCAGGTTCAAGTGATTCTCATGCCCCAGCTCCCTAAATAGCTGAGACTGCAGGTGTGTGCCACGATGCCTGGCTAATTTTTGTACTTTTAGTACAGATGGGATTTCACCAAGTTGGTCAAGCTGGTGTCAAATTCCTGGCCTCAAGTGATCTGCCCACCTCAGCCTCCAAAGTGCTGGAATTACAGGCATGAGCCACTGCACCTGGTCTTTGATATTTTTAAATCCTTTTATTTTCAATCTATTTATGTCTTTGAATATAAAGTTTATCCTGAAGACAACATATAGTTAAAGCATGTTTTTAAATCAAGTCTGATAATCTCTGCTTTTTGATTTAATTGTTTAATTTACCCTGATAAGAAGTTTCTGTTGCATGTATTTCATCCAGTATACAATTTATACTTTTCCATTCTTTTGCATGCTCATAATTTGTTGTTAGAAACTGGACATTTTAGATAATATATCTTAGTAACTCTGGAAACTGGTACCCCGCCCCCCTCTAGGATTGCGATTATTATTTTCTTGTTTATTTGTTTAGTGAGTGCTGAGTTATTTTAGTTGAAGTCTATTCCCTGGCTTCCATTCCCTCACTTTTCAACATACACATCATGGTAAGCCTCTGATGCTCTCTGATCAGTGAGGCACAGTTCTGGGTATATCTAACAATTATCCTGGGATAGTAGTGGTACTGGTAAGATTCTCTCCCACCCTTTCGCTGATTACACCTAGCTGTTAAACTCTACTAATTTCTGGCCTATTGCTTAATTGTTTCCAACAGTGCCCTGGAACATAATTTTTTCTTTACAAATAAATCCAATTGGCCGGGCATGGTGGCTCATGCCTGTAATCCCAGCACTTTGGGAGGCCAAGGCGGGAGGATCATCTGAGGTCAGGAGTTTGGGACGAGCCTGGCCAACACGGTGAAACCCCGTCTCTACTAAAAATACAAAAATTAGCTGGGCATGGTGGCAGGTGCCTGTAATCCCAGCTACTCAGGAGGCTGAGGCAGGAGAATCGCTTGAACCCATGAGGCAGAGGTTGCAGTGAGCTGAGATTGTGCCATTGCACTCCAGCCTGGGAGACACAGTGAGACTCTGTCTCAAAAAAAAAAAAAAAAAAAAGATATACAAATAAATCTAATAATATTGTGACACTTTATATGGGAAAGTTTCTGAGATCAGTGTTTGCTATTTGTATTAACTCCAAGAGAGCTCCTGTCAGCTATCTTATTTCCCAGTTCTCTCTTACAAACTAGCTGGCCTACAGTCTAGGCTATATCTTCATTTGGTCCCAAAATTTCCTCTCAATTGCTTTTCACCACAACTTCTACTGTTCTTGAGAGTGCCCTTAAGTTTAAAATTATCTACACTTTGTTTGGAATAAAGTAAGATCCCTTGGGAAGAGATAAAGAGTTGCATGCTTTATGGCCTGATTCTCTCCCTAGGCAAAATTTCTGAGCTAGAGCACGGAGTTGGGGGTGGAAACAATGACAAGCTTCTCTCTGAGTAATACCCTGGCTCTAATTGCTGAATGCTTGGTGGATGGGGTGAGAGAGGAGTTTGCAGGTCTTTCAGCTTGCCACTCATGGTGTGGAAACTTTACTTCAAAGGCCAAGGAAAAGGCTCCCAAGGCTCCAGTATTCCTGTTAACAGCCCAATTGGTTCATCTTACCCACTGCCCAGAAAAGCCAATTCCCTGAAAATAGCAGATACTGCAGCAAAGAAAGAGTTTAAGTATTGAAAGCTCGGAGGCTAAGGATAATTTGGCAGGCAGGGGGTTAGGGACTAGGTCCTGCTGATTGGTTCAGGATGAAATCATAGGTGTATCCAAAATGTTCTTCATGTGCTGAGTCAGTTTCAGGGTAGGGGGTCACAGGATTGGTTAAGTCAGTTCCCTGGTATGAGTCACAGATCCAGGTGGCATCAACTGGTCAGCCAAAGTGCAAAAGTCTGAAAAATACCTCAAAGACCAATATTGGGTTTTGACAATACCGTTGGTATCTATAAGAGCAATTAAAGAACTTACAAATCTTGTCATCTTCGGAACTGTGGCTGGTTATCATTTAACTACATCTACATCTTACCAGAATTCATTCCCCACTCATAATCCTAAGCTTTTGGCCTTTCATTAGTCCTACAAAGGTGGTTTCAGTCCCCAGAGGGGGTCAGTTTTTGGGGGAGACTATTATCCTTTATTTAAAGTTAAACTATAAGCTAAATTCCTTCCACAATTAGCTTCGCCTACACCCAGGAATGAGCAAACACAGTTAGCTTGTTAAGTTAGAAGTATGGCAGTGTCAGCTAGGTTACATTTCTCTCACTGTCATAATTTTTGCAAAGGTAGTTTCATTCTCAATGCACCACACCCAAGGTAGAACTTCCTTTTTACAAGAAAGTGTTGGGTGGGAGAAGGAAGCTTCCTCCTCCCAGTTGTATTCACCTAAGACTTAGCCTTAGCAACAGACAGCTACGGGCAGGACCAAAAAAGCTCAAGTTATGTCCTATTGCAATGAAAGCCCTGCAGCTGACACCTAAGGAATATAAAGAGTCATATTCTTGGCTGCAGCGTCTGGAGTAGAGTCTCTGCCTCACTGAGCTGGGAGGGGCAAGGAAAGTAGTAGTTTCAGTTCAAATGTCACAGACTCACCTCTCTTGACAGATATTCATAATTTCCTCTAATAGGTATTTCTTTATTTACCATTTGCCCTTAGGACCATTTCCAGAGAATTTAAGTGGTTGTTTCTTTACACACAATTTTCACCAGTTTCACTGAGGAGTGGCTCAGCAGAGTTTCCCACACTGCCATTCTAGAAGTCAATCTATTTCACTTGTATTTATTGTTCAGCTATATATGTTACTTACAAGACTCTTCTTTGCTTTCCACTCCTAATTTTCTGTTTTCCTATAGCTAACTCTGTCTCTCTCCTTTGAAACACTGACTTCCAACTTTATATCAGTCCTCTCAAGTTTTCAAACTCTTAGTTTCTATGAGATTTAGAAATCGGGCTTTTGTTTGTGCTGATGTTTACAGTGAATATTCAAGACTCTGATATTGGCTATAATTTTTTTTTAGAGTTAAAGTCTTCCTTTGTTGCTCAGGCTGGATTGCAGTGGCACAATTTTAACTTACTGTGGCCTTGAACTCCCAGGCTCATGCAATTCTCCCACCTCAGCTTCCTCAGTAGCTGGGACTACAGGAACGTGCCACCACAATCAGATAATTTGATTTATTTATTTATTGCAGAGACAGAATATTGCTATGTTGCCCAACCTGATCCTGAGCTCTTGGTCGCAAGTTATCCTCCCAGCTCAGTCTCCTAAAGCACTGAGATTGCAGGCATGAGCCATGACAACCGGCCTTGAGTATAATTTTAATCTAAGGCTTCAGGAAAGAGAGCATGCTTCTCCACCACTGTCCTCTTCCATTTTTTTGTCTGTGGGTTAGTTCAGGTTCAGGAGGAAGAGACAGGGATGGCAAAGTTGGAAAGAGAAAATGTTACTTCATTCTAAAATCTACACAGTTTGTGAATTCAAGGGAAGCCATTAGTAGGAGTTCCTATTGCTGTGCAGCTGATTTGTTTTGAGGTAGTCACCCTTTGTTGAAGCCTGGCTGGCTTCCTTGAAAACAATCAGCAAGTGACTAACCAGGCATAGTAAGACTGGTGCTGACACAGGAAACCACCAAATGATGAGAGACCTGGGGATGCCCAAAGGAAGTCAATAAAAGCATACTCTCAAATTCTTCCAGATTTTGGCTTGCAAAGCCTCCCAAGACTTCTGGAAATCCTTCCTAAATGCTACTAGGAATGTTCCAGCCAAAGGGCTCTGAGAAATGATTCTTTAAAATCTTGGATGCTTAAGTTTACAAAACCCAGTAAGTTTTTACTTCCAGTTGAAACTGTGCATGAAAAAGATGTTTTCAGAAAGAGTTCTCAGATAATTCTATTTGTGAATAATAGTAGTAATGTAATGGTTATTCTCCATTTGTCTCTCCAAAATCCATTCTCTGTCCTCTCCTGGCTCTATATTGCCAGAGGCTGACTCATGCAGATTCGTTAGCATGCTCCAGAACCTTGCTGGTTAGTTAGCTTCCGGTTGAGTTAGGCCATTGGAAGGCATTAACATGAAATTGGAGCATGTGAGAAAAGAAAAGATGAGTTATTTCTTCCCTGTCCTCTCCTTGCTACACCATTGTCTCTGTGTCAGTAGCTGTTTCTGTAGGTCTCACACTGGGCCCTTCTTCCAAGGTTCTGGTCCTTAGCAGACTGTAGAAACACTAATTCCTCTCCTAAAATCTTCTTGTTATGCTGGTTTCTGTGTCCCTCACTCTCTCGTTTGTTCTCATCACCTGGTCCACATCTTTGTAGCACTCCCTTACCTGAGGATGGGGCAATTATTTCCAAGACCACCAGTGGATGGCTAAAATCACAGATAATACCAAATGCTGTATATACTATGTTTTCTCTGATACATACATACCTCTGAAAATAATTGATTTATAAATTAGACACTGCAAGAGATGAACAATAAGATAAAATAGAACACATATAACAATATACTGTGCACTCCCCTATATATACACATGTACATATATTATATATATACATATAAAGGGGAATTTGTTAAGTATTAACTTACACAATCACAAGGTGTCACAATAGGCTGTCTGCAAGCTGAGGAGCCAGGAGAGCTAGTCCAAGTCCCAAAACTGAAGAATTTTGAGTCTGATGATAGAGGGCAGGAACCATCCAGCATGGGAGAAAGATGTAGGCTGGGAGGCTGGGCCAGTCTCTCCTTTTCACATTTTTCTGCTTCCTTTATATTTGCTGGCAGCTGATTAGATTGTGCCCACCAGATTAAGGGTGGATCTGCTTTCCCCAGCCCACTGACTCAAATGTTAATCTCTACTGGCAACACCCTCACAGACACACCCAGGATCAATACTTTGTATCCTTCAATCCAGTCAAGTTGACACTCAGTATTAACTATCACAACTCCACCCCTTGTCAACTTGAACCCATATATATCTCCTGAGATCATACATAATCTTCAAATAAAGACAATAATAAGGTCATAATTACACTTAAAATAATACAACTATCTTTCGTACAACCGGAAATGCACCAATACCCCCATCCAAATACTATTACATAAAGTTAACAATACTTAAATGCTGATATGAAGTCAATTAATCTTATGTCACATGATAAAGGAAAAGGAAATAAAATGAGGATAATTTCTCAGTACAAGTGTATACATGCACAAACATGTTTTTAACAAAAGAAGGAGGAAATACTCATGACAGTTACAGTCCTCATTTCTGCAGCTGGTCAAGTGGTCATAGCTGGTATTTATGACTACCTTCTCCTACTGCCCATTCTGTATTCCCTTTACCTTCAGCAAGCACCTCAGCAGGTCATGTTTTTTTTCCTGGTGGAGTGACCCAAACCTTCCTTCCTGAGGGGTCTGGACCATTTGTAGTTCTGCCTGGATTGGGCTGTTGTACTTTCCCATTGACCTTAATCACAGGGCATGGTAATACTAAGAGACACCCTAATGGATCACCTGTATTCCGTGCATATTCTTTCCTTACCTCCGTTGTGGAGTAGTAGACTGATTTCATCTTGATAGTCTGGATCAATAACCCCAGCCAACACTATAACTCCCTTCTTAGTCTGTTGACTTAAAGGTAAGAGGACCCCAAAGTGTTCAGATGGAAATCTTAACTTCTAGTTTAATGGAATTGTTGTTGTGTCTCCTGGTGGCAGCGTTCCTCCCTCTGGAACTAAGACCTTTAGGTCTGCAGAACGTGAGGTTATGGGAACAGGAAGCAAAACTTTTGCTAGTGGATAACTAGAGGTGATGGTGAGTGGTGCCACTTCCACTTCCAGCTCTTGATTCCTGGACCTGTGAATCCTGGCTATGGGGGTAACAGAACCATATATTGGACACTGATTCAGAGCATACATGGCCTTCTAGAGAACTTTGCCCTAGCCCTGCAAAGTATTGTCACCTAGTTGGCATTGTAATTGTGACTTCAAAAGGCCATTCTAATATTCTATCAATCCAGCTGCTTCAGGATGTTGAGTAGCATGCTAAGTCCAGTGAATTCCATGAGCATGAGCCCACTGTCACACTTCTTTAGCTGTAAAGTGAGTGCCTTGGTCAGAGGCAATGCTGTGTGGCATATTGTGATGGTGGATAAGGCATTCAGTTAGTCCACAGATGGTAGTCTTGGCAGAAGCATTGCATGCAGTATAGGCAAACCCATATCCAGACTAAGTGTCTATTCCAGTGAGGACAAACCTCTGCTCTTTCTATGATGGAAGAGGTACAATATAATCAACCTGCCACCAGGTAGCTGGCTGATCACCCTGAGGAATGGAGCCATATTGAGAGCTCAGTGTTGGTCTCTGCTGCTGGTCAATTGGGCACTCAGCAGTGGCCACAGCCAGGTCAGCCTTGGTGAGTGGAAGTCCATGTTGCTGAGCCCATGTGTAACCTCCATCCCTGCCACCATGGAAACTTTCTTCATGGGCCCGTTGGGGCGATGAAAGGGGTGGCTGGGGAAAAAGGCTGAATGGTGTCCACAGAACAGGTAATCCTATCCACTTGGTTATTAAAATCTTCCTCTGCTGGAGTCACTCATTGCTGAGCACTCACATGGGATACAAATATCTTCATGGTTTTTGACCACTCAGAGAGGTCCTTCCATGTACCTCTTCCCCAAATTTCTTTGTCACCAGTTTTCCAATACGCTTCTTGCAAGTCCCTGACCATCCAGCCAAACCATTGGCTACAGCCCATGAATCAGTATATAATGGCACATCTGGCCATTTCTCCTTTCATGCAAAGTGCACAGCCAGGTGGCCTGCTCAAAGTTCTGCCCACTGGGAAGATTTTCCTTCACCCGCTGTCCTTCAGGGATGTCCTAGAAAGGGGCCGTAGTGCTGCAGCTGTCCACTTTCAGGTGGTGCCTGCATATCGTGCAGAACCATCTGTGAACCAGGCCCTTGTCTTCTCTTCCTCTGTCACCTGATCATAGGGAACTTCCCATAAGGCCATCGGTGCAGGCTGGGGAAGAGAAGGCAGGGTGGCAGGAGTGGAGACCATGAGCATTTGAGCCACTTCCTCATGTAACTTGCTTGTGTCTTCAGGACCCGCTTAAGGCTGATCAGATATATACCACCTACATTTGATGATGGAATGCTGCTGTGCAAAACCCACTTTGTGGCTGGATGGGTCAGAAAGCACCCAGTTCATGAAAGGCAGTTCAGGTTGCATGGTGACTTGGCCCATAGTCAAACATTCAGTTTCCACTAAAGCCCAGTAACAGGCCAAGAGCTGTCTCTCAAAAGGAGAGTAGTTATCTCCAGAAGATGACAGCAATGGAGGCCTAGAGGCCTCCACTGTGATTCACCTATGGGGGCCTGCCAAAGGCTCCAAACAGCATCCCTATCTGCCAGACACCTCAAGCACCATTGGATCTCCTGAGTCATGTGGCTCAAATGGCCGAGCAGCTTGCACAGCAGCCCAGACCTGTTGCAGAGCCTTCTCCTGTTCTGGACCTCACTCAAAACTGATAGCCTTTTGGGTCACTTGATAAGTGAGCTGGAGTAACACCCCCAAATGAGGAATGTGTTGCCTCAAAAATCCAAATAGACCCATTAAGCATTGTGCCCCTTTTTGGTCGTAGGAGGGGCCAAATGCACCAACTTATCCTTCGCCTTAGAAGGAATATCTCAACAGAGCCCACACCACTGTACCCGTAGAAATTTTACAGAGGTAAAAGGTCCCTGAATTTTAGTCAAATTTATTTCCCATCCTCTGGCACACAAATGTCACACCATGAAGTCCAGTGTGTTTGCTACTTCTTGCTCACTGGATCTAATCACCATAATGTCACCAATGTAATGGACCAGTGTGATATCCTGTGGAAGTGAAAAGCAATCAAGATCTCTCCAAATGAGAGTGTGACACAAAGCTGGAGAGTTGATATACCCCTGTGGTAGGACAGTAAAGGTATATTGCTGGCCTTGCCAGCTGAAGGCAAATTGCTTCTGGTGGGCCTTATGGACAGGAATGGAGAAAAAGGCATTTGCCAAGTCAATGGCTGTGTATCAGGTATCAGTAGATGTGTTAATTTGCTCAAGTAATGAAACCACATCTGGTACAGCAGCTGCAATTGAAGTCACCACTTGGTTAAGATTACAATAATCTACTGTTATTCTCCAAGGTCCATCTGTCTTCTGCACAGGCCAAATGGGAGAGTTGAATGGGGATGTGGTGGGAATCATCATCCCTGTGTCTTTCAAGTCCTTGATGGTGGCACTAATCTCCACAAGCCCTCCATGGTTACAATATTGTTTTTTGTTTACTAATTTTCTAGGTAGAGGCAGCTCTAATGGATTCCATTTGGCCTTTCCCAACAAAATTGCTCTCACCCTACCAGTCAGGGAGTCAATGTGGGGGTTCTGCCAGCTGCTAAGTGTATCTATGCCAATTATGCATTCTGGCATGGGGGAAATGACCGCAGGATGAGTCTGGGAACCCATTGGACCCATTGTAAGTCAGACCTGAGCTAAAACTCCATAATTACCTGACCTCCATAAGCCCCTACTTTAACTGGAGGACTACAATGACATTTTGGGTCCCCTGGAATCAGTGTCAGCTCAGAGCCAGTGTCCAACAGTCCCTGAAATGTCTGATCATTGCCCTTTCCCCAGTGCACAGTTACGCTGGTAAAAGGCTGGAGGTCTCCTTGGGGGAGGATGGGAGAAAGATTCACTGCATAAATTGTCGGTAATACAGTGGGGTCCTTCCTCAAGGGGACCTGGCCTCCCCTTCATTCAAGGGGTTCTGGGTCTGTAAACCAGCTCAAGTCTTGAAATTGATTGAGGGGCTATGATTCTCTGTTTTTATAATTCAAATTAGTCTTTTGTTCATTTGACCTAGAAGATTTCTGCTTGTATAAATTAAATAGGAACATAATAGGCTTCCTGTCAATTTCACTTCTAGGAACACTGTGATTAATTAGCTCAGAGCTCTACATGAGTCAGACTATTCTGATTGCTGCTTTGCCTCTGCTGTCCATTATGGTAGCTATACCCACTTTGCCTTTGACAGTTGAGTGCTACCGCTTGGCCCCTGCCACCTTGGGATCCAATAATTCTCATTGTATTTAAATTTTGTAGTTGAGTTACTGTGGTTCCCACTGTCAGATCTGACATATAGAGAAGAGCAATTACTGGGCTCGTCAAAGATGCAGGTGCTGCCCTCACAAATCTCTTTCACAAGGCATTGGTCAAGCGTATACCTTCTGGACCCTCCCAGCTGGGATGAGTAGGTCAAAAGTGACTAACCCACTCCATCATCCCAATCTCCCTAAGCCTTTGGATCCCTTCCTCTACATTAAACCGATGGAGATTAGGCATTTCCAGCTCACTGGCAGTGGGCCATATTTTAATCCATATTTCAGCTAACCAAGCATATAAACTATTGAAACTGTTTAACTCCCCAAGCTGCAATATTAAATGCAGAGTCCCAACTTAGTGGGCCCAAATCAATAAATTCAGCCTGATCCAACTCCATGTTTCTTCCACCATTATCCCATACCCTTAATATCCATGCCTGTTCTCCAGATTTCTGTTTATATAAATTAGAGAACTCAAACAGTTCTTTTTGCGTATAGTGTCCCTCCTCATGGGTCACACTCTCAACCTCACCTCTAGGGGCCCTCCAGGACTTCCATCTAGTTATAGGTCTAGAAGCAAACGAAAGAGCTGGGAGTGGCTGCTGAGGAGAATCAACATTATCTTGCCTGATAACTGCTGCAGGGGAGGCCATCACTGTTGCCTCAGGCAGTGCAGGATTTATCTCCTCAGACAAAGGTGGAAAGGCTGATAGCTGCATGGGTTGGGGAGGGGATGTTTTCACTACTGTGTATGGGGAAGCTGTTTCTTCTGTCAAAAAGGTTCATCAGAGTTTACAAACTCAGTGTCCCCAGCTTCATCTGGGTCCTCCCACACATCCCCATACCAAGTTGTGGGGTCCCATTCTTTTCCAATCAATGCCCTTACTTTAACAGTAGACACCTGGCAAAGCTGTACATGCATCTTTCATTACAGGAGAGCCACAGGCATGATAAGAGCTTGCGTCTGTTTTTCCACAATTTTAGCTCCTTCTCTACATGAGATAAGACTCTCGCTTAGTGCAATCTTAGCAGATTTGAGGCTCAGTATCTGCTTCTGAAGCCAGGAGACAGAATCCCTGAGTTCATCATTTTCTTTCCACATTTTGTCCACTGAACTTAGGAGCAAGCAACCAGCTTCATTGTGTTCCTTGGTTCTCCACATATGGTCAAAGGTATTATGTACAGAGTCAGTAAACTCCTTGCCTCATATATATATATATAGGGGTTTATTAAGTATTGACTTACACAATCACATGTCCCACAATAGGCTGTCTGCAAGCTGAGGAGCAAGGAGAGCCCAATCCAAGTCCCAACACCGAAGAATTTGGAGTCTGATGTTCAAGGGCAGGAAGTATCCAGCACAGAAGAAAGATGTAGGCTTGGAGGCTCAGCTAGTCTCTCCTTTTCACATTTTTCTGCCTGCTTTATATTTGCTGGCAGCTGATTAGATCGCGCCCATCAGATTAAGGGTGGATCTGCCTTCCCCAGCCCACTGACTCAAATGTTAATTTCTTTTGACAACACCCTCACAGACACACCCAGGATCAATACTTTTTATCCTTCAATCCAATCAAGTTGACACTCAGTATTAACCATCACATACTGTAATAAAATTTATGTAAATATGGTCTTCCTTTCTCCCTCTCTCAGAATATCTTATACCGTACTCACCTATTTTCCAACTGCAGAAAGCAGAACCACAGATACAGGGAGACTACTCATCTCTTAATATGATTCATTTGGGCTGAATTTCTGTTTCCTTTTGGGTCTCTGAGAATTGCCACATTTCAAAACCTTCTATGCGTATCATGATCTCTAAACTTCATGATAACCCTCCAAGGCATCAACATTAACCCATTTTATAAATGGGGAAATATTACTTAGATAAATAAAATACCCAAAGTCACACACCCAATGAGTCGCAGAATGGGAATTCAAATCCCAGTCCTTGTAACATCATTTTCTTTGTTTCACTTAAATTTGTAAGTACATTCTAATTATACTACTAATGCAAATACTAATTTCATCTAAATATAAGATAAATTTTACATTAGCTGTCTTCTGAACACATTAAGACCAAGCCCTTATTTTGAAATATTTGATAAAATTCACAAAGAAACTGCTAAACTCAAGAACAGTATCCCTTTAATCACAATAATGAAAACAGAAAACTTTTATTTAAAACAATGAAAAAACTTGATAAGCTATACTCTTGTTTGATGTTAACATTAACTCTTCTTTGATCTTCGGTTTCTTTGTCAGACACCTTTGATTGCAACCCAACAACCATCCCCAGTCCTTTATCGCTATCTTTTTATACTTTAAAGGCTAATTTTCCCAAACTCTTTTGCATGTATATGTGGCCAGGAGATCCAGGTCTGCCTAATGAAAGTGAAAGTATTCTTTTCATTGATTAAGCAAACAACCACAGCTTTTTGCCCCTGTTCCTTTCTTCATGTTTAAAACGATGGTTTGATGCTTGGAATTACAGCAGCTATATTGTGACCATGAGCCAACATACCCAAGGTTGCTAGATTTAGCAAATAAATATATGTAATGGCCAACTAAAGTTTCAGTTTTAGATAAAATATGAATAAATTTATAGTATATGTCCCAAATATTTTATAACATATACTAAAAAGAGTATAATTGTATAGATAATACACACAAATATATATTATATATATAAACTAAAGAGCTTAAGTTAGAGTCAACTTAAACACCAAGTTCCACAAACTTTCAAAGCCCTGAGTTTTGTTGTTGCTTTATTAAGTTGTGAATGGATAAAAAGAATGTAAAATATGTATATGGCATAAAGAAAAACTACGCTGAACACTTTGTTAATTGCCACCCAGCCTAAGAAAAAGAACAACCTCAAAGGCAACCTCTATCCTGGATTTTGTGTTTAATCTTCCTTTGCCATTTTAATAATTTCCTTGCTTTCCTTTGTTCATCTTTATCCCCTCTGAAAAGCTAATAATGGAAATAAGACCTTTGCCTTTTACGATGCACTGAAGATAGCCTGACAGTCTTCCTCCCCTTAGCCCCCAAATTACTAGTCTATGAGAATTATGCAAAATTTAAAACAGGAAGGTGCTCTTCATCTCGGTCCTCAGAAAAAAACATGACAAAGGTTGACCTTTACAGAGGTAGTTAGGTTGCTAGATAAAAAGAGATACAAGTGACAAACCAAAGAGAGGGGGAAATCCTACACTTAGGGGGTTGAGGTTTTGGTCTTTGTGTGTTTTTAGAGAAGCAACCTCAACTTTCAGGTTTCTGAAAGGGCTCCCCTGCTTTTCCTTCAGCTCAGCCCTAGGCAAGCAGACCCCCTGCCCAAGCCTCCCTCCTGAGATCCTGCATATGCTTTCTTGCTAAATGACTTTTAGCACCGTTATCTCCTCATGGGATACATCTGTTGGGTGCCTCGCATCCTCAGCTCCACTTTCATCTCTTCTATCTCAACACATTGTTTCCTCCACTCCTGATGCCAGGGTGGAAGGAAGCCATCCCGCCCGGCCGCGCTTGGGGATTGGCAGCCAATGAATGATTGGCAGCGGGCATCTCTGTCAGAGCTTTGGCATGCTGCAGAGTAGAAGCCCCGTGCTAATGAATGCCATCTACACCTACCAGATGTGCCACTGGGTGACATGCCAGATCTTTTACATAATGCCATTCTGCCGGACACAAGACAGCTGAGGGGTGGGGAGGTGTGTCTTTTAATGCTTTGGGATGGGAGTAGATCTGGCTTGCCCTCATTTTATTTCTTACTCAGACCACCCGCCACTGCCCATACACCCAATCAGCTCCCTTTACATTGGGCTAAGGCTCAGGGCATCTCGGAGACAGTGGCGAAGCAGCAGAGTTTGAGTTCCCAGGACATATCTCCTGTCCCCTGGCTCTCATCCATGCTCATCATTTCCTTGAGTTCGCTCCCTGCCCGCATCCAGATTCAGGAAAGGGAAATAGTTTTCAAAATTAAAGAAATAAAAGCACTAAATGGGATCTGAAATGAAAGGAAGGAAGGGGAAAAACTACACTTCCCATCCTCCCCCCTCCCCCATCCCTAATATTCTCTTCTTCCCTAGTCTAAACGTGCAAGGATGAGCTTCCTACACCCCATCCCTTTGGCAGCTTCTCCTGTTCTTTCCTCTTCCACCGTCCACAGGAAACTGGAGCGTGTTTATCCCCAAGGGTGATATCCCGTTAGTGCCTGTCCCACGTTCTGGCTGAAGTAGCTGTCTTAAGGTGGAGGCGTCCAGAAATCCGTGCCGTTTGGGGAGCAATGTTTCCTGGAGTGGGATGGACAAGGTGGGAAGAGAGGAAAATGAGCAAACCACTTCTGACGGACAGCGGGTGTGTGAGCGTGTAGGAGTGCTTGGGTTGTCCTCGCCCAGCTCTCCATCCCCGGAGGGAGAATGGCTGGAGGGGGGCTGGTGGTTGCCAGGAGGATCCCCTCTCTTTTGCTAAACCTGCGGGTACCGGGCTGCCCTGTAATCGGCGGGACTTGAGAACGGCAGGCCTCCGCTCCTCCTCCCCAGGGGCCATGACCCTCACACACCTCCCCACACCACCCCTCCCGCGACACACACGCAGTACTTGGGGCGACTGGGCGCCACTCCCACGCCAGAGCCCTGCCCCGCGCCCGCCTGGGGCCGAGCAGCCTGGCCCCTTCTCTTGTACCCCCACCCCCGCCCGCTGCCGAGGCTCCAGATGGCTTCTCCTTGCGCTCGGCTCGCGGCCCCCAGACGCCGCCCGGCAGCAGCCGGCGGTCGCTCCCTCCCTCCCAGCTGCTGCAGCAGAGACCGGGGCCATTTCGCGAGGCGGACGGGCTCCTCGGCAGGCTCCGATTGGGGTGGGAGAGCGGCCGCCGAGGGGCCCGCAGTAGCTGCGCTCCCGGGGAAGGAGCCCCACAGTCCCCAGGTAAGGAAGCCGCGGGGCAGGCGAAGGGCGGGGAAGGAGGAGCCTGAGCGTTCCGGTACCCAACCCTCTCTCTTTCTTGACCTTCCTCCCCTCTGCCCCTTCATCCTGGGCGCGGAGGGCGGAACAGTTTCTGGACCAGAGCACCCGCGAGAAGCAGGGAGCGGCCGCACAGCAGCCAGAAGAGGGCGCCAGCACCCCGGGGCCGGGGCTACAGGGCTGGCTCTGCCCCGGCGTCCCGCCCCCGCCCCGGGGAACGCTGCCTCTGCCGCAAAGATGCCCCCTTCCGCTGGAAAGCGGTAATGCCCACCGCCCACCGCGACCACCCCTTCCCCATTTTTCTCAGTTCTAACTGTACTCCTCTCTCGTTTCCTTTTTGCTTCTCTCTCTCTCTCCCCCCTCCCTCGTCCTCTCTTCCTCTCTCTTTCTCTCTGCGCTTGTTTTCTTACTTCCCCCTCCCTCCCCGCTTGCACCCCGGTACTTTTCCTTTTCTTTTCTGATCACTGGCGGGGGGAGGGTTTGTCGCCCGCCGGAAGGTAGTGTGGAGGGGATGGATGTGTTTCACGCTCAGGTTCTGGCTCTGGCTCCTCTCCATAGGTGCCTCCCTGGGTGCTCGCGAAAGCAGCCCTGAGAATGGCAGCTCTCAGAGGTTGAAGTCATTCTTTTCGGGGGACGGGGCACGGCGACTGTTTGATTGGGGGGTGAGTTATGCACTTGGGGCAGCGCTTCCCTGGAATGCAGAGCTGGGGATTTCCCTTGCTAGACGGATGCTTAAAGTTCAGTGGCTTTGTACTGAGCCCCTTTCTCCCCTCGAAAAGTCATGACAGTCAAAAGTATCTCTCTTTCTCTCTCCCCCGCCCCCCACTTCTCTCCAAAACCCTAAAGACAGCCTCCCCGGACAGTCTTCACCGTTTTTTTTCAGAAGCAGTTGCGCTGGGGGTGGGGAAAGGGAGGGAAGGGACATTGAAAGGCCGCAGTGGCTGGCAACTCCGCGCCCGTCCGATGTCCTCTCTAATCCCCCAGTGTTCTGGCGCGTACCCACAGTGCCCCCAGACCCTCCGCTCGCCCGTGCGCCGAGGTCGTTGGGTTTTAGACCCAGAGAGCACGTTCCGTAAGCTCCCGGCCCAAATCCCCTCGGAAAAATTAATCACAACCACCAGCGGATGCAAAATGTGTGCCTGTGTTGAGTCTGTCTTTTAATCCCGAACGTAATTCTAAAAAGCAGCATCAGACAAGAGCTTTATTAATCCCTTACACGAGCAAATGCGATCTCTGACCTACTAGACTTGTTTTCCTACAATTTCACAAAAAGCCTCGCTAGAGGAATGTGCAAGGACAGAAGGGAAACTGAGGAGACCCGCAACTCATTAGCGAAATAATAGGGTGCACTTCAATAAAAATGCGGTCCTGAAGTGGAGCAGACTCACCGGCAAGGAGCCCGGAAAATCGTCAGGGGCGGCGGCAAAGTGAGTGATGGGGATTGGAGGAAGGGGTAGGATTGGAGGAAGGGCCTCATGCACAGAGTGTGGTTGGGAGCTGGAGTGGGAACCCAGTTCGGTCTCTTCCGAAGGCTTAGGACCCATGTGACTGAATTTAGGGGCTGTCCCCTTGCGAGGGCACTAGGACAACAGGAGGGGCGCACCTGCAATACGGATGAGTTCAGAGTTTGATCCCTTGGGGCCTTTTTCTCGCACTTGAGATTTCACTATCATGTCGTTCAATTAATCATATTTCCCTTCTCCCATTTTATTCAAAACCGTCTTCCAGTTCCCTCATAATCGTAATTTGCGTCATTGCCTTTTATCGTTGATTAATTAGGAAGCCGAAAATGGTAATGGAGGGTCGGGCCAATAAATTAGCTTTAGGAACAGACGGACGGACGTCCGAGGCTGCTGCATGGGTGGGCGCTGTCCACCGAAGCTGGCGGGGGCCACCGTCGCTGCAGCTGGCTTCTCAGGAAGGCGTTAAGGAAAAGGCGCGCGGTACTGGCTGAATGGAGAGATCCACTCTGAAATAAACCCGGTGGCCACAAGGGAAAACTTCTCACTGCACTAGGTGGAGAGACTCCTGTGACGCTTAGCTTTTCCCGTTTGGTATAGAAAAGGAAAGACTGGGTTGTTATAGAAATGGAGAAGAGGAAGGATGGGGTAGGATAAGAGTCAGACTCCTGTTACTTTCAGAGGCCTCCCTACTAGCGGGTAAACAGGTTTAAAGTCTGGGCCTTATTAGGAGCCTTTTTTTTTCCAGAACTGGAATGTTAGATTTACTTTTGCAGCCTTTCCTTCCTCTTTCCACTTACCTACTGGTCTGAAAGAGGGAAGAAAGAAGGGAGGAAATAAGGGAGGAAGGAAGAGAAGGGAGAGAGAGAAGGCAGGGTGGAGAGAGAGAGAGAGAGAGAGAGAGATTGATTGTCAAGATCAGATCAGTTAACTCCCTGGCCAAAGAGGAAAGTTGCTAATGTGGAGTTGCTCCCTGCCCTCAAAGAAGCAGCAGCTCTGGGCGGGTAGGGTCTCCTCTTTTCTCCCTTCATGAAATCGATCACGCCTCCAGAGGGCTGAAGGAGAGCACTTTGCCACTCTTCACAGCTACACCCTGGCCTCTTTAGCTTTCAATTGAAAACCAATTAAAAGTTTCTATAAATCTGTTAGTGCCCCTTTTATCTGGGGACCCCTGATGCATGCGATATTGCCCTTTAGATGCCTCTTCCGTGTTTTGTTTTACAATTGTTGTATCAATATAATGCGGCCTTTCTTCTGCTGTCTCTATAGATACAGATACACAAGGAAAACCAAAGCTATTCAGGCTCCTCATTTGTCCAGCAGCCTAACAGTGGTGCCCTTTCTCTGTGCTGCTTTCCCTGCTTCGGGAGCAGCAGTTATGGTAGAAGCAGATGGCTACTGATTGGGGGAGCTTTGTGGCTCTAATACTGAATACTTTATGGAAAAGGACTTTATCATGCTTCGTTGGGCAGAGGAACAAGGGATGAGATTTATGGCCAGGAAAAATAAATCTTTTTCCAAGTTGTGGCTCCTTCTCACCAATGTCTCCTTTGCCCCCAGGGTAGAACACTGAGGAATTGGTTTTATTTTATTCTCCTTTTTGCTAACAGCACCTTTTAGTCAGGGTAGTGGACTAAGAGCCAGAAGTTTACGAAATACCCCAGGTTGTTGCTGTATCAGCATTCTCTGCCCTGGGGCGGGGGGAAGCAGAAGAATATCATCTTGAATGCTGTTTCAGGCCACGTTTTCTTGAATGTCCTCTTAGTTGATGGGTAAAATATTATTGTCCATTATTTTATTATCTATGAAGAACAGAAAAGAATGCTAAGAGCTCCCATTTGAAGTCAGAGGATGATACTGGTATTGAAGGAGAGGGGGAAATGATGGGGCATTTGGTAATGCAGGTATGCTTCTCTACTTTGAAAGGGTCTGAGCTATGGAGATAATTAGGGGATGTCTGTGAATTTAGGGTTTGGGGCTCCAAATTGAATTTCCAAGGTTTGGGGGATATACAGAGTCCAACCCTATACTGGAGGCCTAATTCACCCCAAGATAGTCCATATCATTTCTCTTTTCTTCTCTTCACCTGAGTTTTACTTGTAACTTCTCTTGAGTCAGGTTTGCTCCGCGTCTGTTGTTGGGTTATGCCCCTTCTCTATATGCAGGGGGATGCAACCTCCTGCTCCTCCTGTCCTCGGAGTCTGTTCTTCTAGAGTAATGTCACCCCCCTTCCTGAGATCTGTAACATAAAGTCACTCAGAAATGCTCCTATAGAGCCCCAAATGCCTACTGGCAACCTGGCACCAAGAGATGGCAGTCAATCCCAGCTCTGGGTCTCCATTCCCATTTCAGACAGACTCTTTGTCTCCCTGATTTTTGAAATGTCATTTTCTGTTCAAGAAACATTTGTTGAGTGTCTTCCATGTTCCAAGTCCCTTTTCTCTGCCTTTTCAATCCTTTTACCTTGTACCTAAACACTAAAGACAAAAGGCCAGGAGGACCCGCATTCAGCTTCCACAAGGGTCACCTAACTTTCTACCACAAGCTACTTCCTTCCAACTCTCCAGTCACTACCACCCCACACACTGACATGCATCTTTGCATCTTGTTTCTCTCCAAAGAGGAAAAAAATTGGGAGGAGAGAGCTGAGATTTTAAAAATTCTATTTACCCAGCATTCCAAAGCAGAAGACACTGAGCTGCTTTAAACTTTGGGCATTTCTTTTGTGCTAGGCTGAATGCTCTTCCAGCCTCATCACACTTAATTCTTATGCTGACCCTTTAAATATGATGTTATTGATGTTAAATATTATAATATCCCTATTTCACAGATCCCCCTGCTTCACAGGAAACAAAAGCATAGAGATACTAACTAACTCAAGCAAGTGGCCTAGCTGGGATCTGAACCCAGGCTTCATAACCACTCTATGAGATAGATGTTGTCTTTACTATTTTACAAATGAAGATACTAAATTTCAGAGAGGTTATGTAATTTGCTCAAACACACAGGTAGGAGATTACAGACCCCGGGTTCAGACCTGAGTGTTCAAAATCCCAAATATCAACCTCTTAACCACTGCCTCTTGGATCCTTCAGGAGGAAGAGCAACTGGGAACCCACAACTGACCGCTATTACCTGATCCCCAGTCCTAGCCTGGGCGGAAAGTTTCATATAACTTGAGACGGTGCGCGTGGGGAAAACGTAAAGCTCCCGTTCAGGGCTGCTCCTGCGCGGAAGCTGCGTGGGCTAGGAGAAGGAGGCTCCGCCGGGCATCGCGAGCCAGACAGGGAGCTCCGTCTGTCGTGCGGCCCACAGGGCTCCGCTCGAAGCCAGCGTGCGGGCGCTGGGACAAGGAGTGAGGGCAGCCACGGGGGGAACTCGCCCTGCACAAAGCTCCAGTGCCAGTGGTGTAGCTGCTGCCTCCGGGCATCAGTTACCTCGTCCTGCCAAGCTCCGGGACTTGGGTGTGTAGGGGAGGGCTGGAGCCATCCACCCGGTCCGCATCTGAGCCACAGCCCTTCACAGGAGTGGGAAGGTCACGCGCGCTCTAGGAGGCCCAGAGCCCTGGTCAGCGCTGGGAAGCCCGGTCCCCAGGTTTCTCTGCCCACCCCCAGACCTCGGCTTTTGGCCGCGGCGCTGGAGTTTACCATCAACGTGTTCACATGCTTCTCATCCTACGGAGTCGCCCGGATCAGCCTTTAACAGACTGACTTATCCGCGTTTCTAACGTGGCACCGCGACCCTGACCCTTGGCGCCTCTACCAGGCCTAAAGAAAGAACTTGCAAGCTGGGCATGGGAGGATGGAAGTCAAATATCAATCTACCGGGCAGGCCTTCCGCAGCAAACTGATTGCTCTTGCATTAAACCTGGGGTGGGGGTGGGAGGTGCGCGGTGCGGGCTGGGAAAGAGGGAAGGGATGACTGCCTTTCCTTCCATTTCTCCCTAGAAACTTCGGGAAATCCTCAGCCCTCGCTGGGTCACTTGGAAAGTGGGTTCACAATACAGTTCCCAGTTTTCTAATGAGGAAGCAAAGGCAGTGTTAGTAACAATAGGCAGCTCTGAAATGGGCATTTAGTATGTACCAAGCGTTGTTCTCTGCTTGCTAAGTATCACCTCAGCACTAACTTTATGAAAAGGGTCCCTTTAATGCTCTCAGTTCACAGATGAAAGACTGAAGTATAGACCAGTTAAATTACCTGAGTGGGGAGGGCTGGGATTCGAAGCCATGCAGTCCTGGTTCCCCTGTGGAATTGTGGGCTTTCCTGAGCCTGAATTGTTGGTCCTTCTTCTTGGGTCAGTTCTCCAGACTTCTAAGGAGAATGTTCATTAATGAAGGCATTGAGACCATCTCGTGTCCAAGACTGAAATGAAACTAGCCCTGGCTCTTGGAAGTGATCCCTTACCATCTGCTCAGCAACTGGCTTTCCAAAGCGCGTTCGCCCTCGTTCCCTTAGAGTCCTCACTGCGATCCGGGAGGCAGCTCTTGCCAGCTTTTGTTCAACCGGAGGAAAACCAAGGCTGAGCTAGGTCATCGGCAGCCCAGCTAGTAAGAAATGGGAACACAGGCTCCTGCCCTGCTAAACGAGATCAGGCGACCAGCTGGTCGAGGTCGTGCACAGAGGCAGGGAGAGAGGGTGGTGGAAAGAGTGTTAGGTTCCCGCAGGCCCCGCCCTTGGAACGCCTTTCCGCAGGTTAAGTGGTCACCTAGCGGGAAGCAAGTGATGGCACTAATTGCCGGTGGAAGGCTAAAGAACATGGGAAATGTGGCGGGCCCTTGGGAACTGCATTTCCTCCCTGCTTCGCCCAGGGCTCATTTGGAGCGTACCAAGCGCACCGCTTGGCCCCACACTGCCCCACATTCACGGTTTGCGCACTGTGCGTCTACAAGGGCGACGCCGGGCAGACGATGGCTTGTTTTGTTCTGCCCTGGTAGCCTCCTGTGTCAGGGCTCTGCACTCTTTGGTGAATCAGCTCAAACGATGTGATCTGTGTCTGCGCCTCCTGATACTGTGGGGGCGTTACTCTCCTTGGATCTCTCCCAGGGAAACCCGGTTTGCCAACATTGAAGTCCGTGATTTGGCCTTCTCTGCACTCTTAGTTCTGTCGCTGTACCTTTCACTAAGACATGGGCACCGGACAATCTAGACATCAGGAAGTGTCCGAGTCTAGCAGGCACTTCTGTGCCTTGTCTTGCTTCCCAAACTTAGGACTCAAACTCAGCTGTGTGGGGCCTTGAGGAGGAGCAGCTAATTCAGTCCCCCAGGTTAGAAATGAAACTCGTTGCATTCGGTGCATTGGCATTGGCTTTCTCGAGGATATTTTCACAAGTTTAGGGGAACCCCACTTATCTGGAACATAGATGTCTTAGGACTTCAGTAAACTGACTCTAGAATATAGATAATGCTGTGGGATAGTTGATCACACACACAAGATATTAGATAGTAACATTATACTCAGGAAATATATTCTTTATAGCTATTCAATTTGCTCCCTTGGGACCAATTGCTGTCCTGTATGACTTCACACAAACTATTTTCTCAAAACCACCCTACATGAAAACATCCAAAAAAGAGCACTGGCTACTTAATGGACAAGCATCCAAGTAAAATGACAGTCCTAAAACTTATTTTTAATTGCTGCCTTTGACAACATTCACCCCAACCTTCTTAAACACACACCCATACCCATATATGCATAGAGGACAATTTCTGCTCAGGTATAAAGTTATTCAGGCCTAAGTTAAATTCTAGGCCTAGCAAATCTCAACATCTAGGTCATTATATTCAACATGTTTATTCTTAGGAATGTATGAGTGTTTTATTTAGCAATTCCGGGTATTATTTCTTTGAAAAATATGAGTTTTCCTTTAAACTTCCTTAAAAGGAGATTATGAATAATACCACGGTTACTATATTACAGATACTATCAAATCAGCCTGGGAAGCATCTTTTCGCTCAGCAAGTTCAAGAGAACAAATATGTTACAATCCTTGCCTATTCTTGCCTCCACTTCATAATGTAAGTCCAGAAGTGTTTATAGTAATAATGATGTTGCTGCATTTGTGACATGTTGATCTTTGAATTTTTTTAAGGAGACCACCTTTCCAAGTATTAGCAGTGAGGAAAGACTTACATTGGTAGCTTTCAAGTGTTTTTGAAAATCTTCTGAAAACTAACACCTCTTCATATAATGTTTTGGGAGACATCCCCCATTGATGCTAAATTAATACCCCTGGATTAAATCATAGAACACCTGGGATTAATTGAACTGAAATCATGAAAGATAGTTTTCACTCAGAGTTCAGTTGGCAATATGAGCAAGGGAGCAGTTTGGGAGCATAATTTGTGAAGAAATTGAACCATATTTCCAATACTCTTTAATACAAGGTAAATCACCACTATTGTGGTTCCTAACTGGTATCCGCTTCTCAAATACTCTTTGTCTCTCTCTTTCTTCCTTTCTTTTTACTTTCTTTCTCTCGCTTCTCTTTTCCTGGAGAAAATGAAATGTCTCTCTCTTCAGGCCTCAGGAAAGTGTACCATGGGTTTATTCCAAGTACTGGACATTTGTGTCCCCTGCCTAGACCTCTTTCCCAGAAGAGCCATGCTTTCTGCTGCTTTTTCCCCAGCAGCCCGAATTCTTACAGTCCATACCTCAGAAAGCTAACTGGGATTAGATGTCAAGGAGTGTAGTCTGCCCAGGATATATATGCTGTGTGTCTATCGTTGCCTCTTTATTTAACTCAGGAATTACAATCCACCTAAAACAGAGAAGAAAAGGGTGGCACACAGGTACTGAATTGGGATGATGTCCATTCTCCTGGCTGTGTGAAGAAATTTGATGTAAAGCCTCTCAATGTTGTCACATTCCCAAGGCCTAGAGTTAGACTTCTCAAAATTTCATTTGAGACTGCTGGACACCAATTTGAGACTGCTAGACATCCCCTGATCTGCAGTCTGCCTAAAAATCCTGACCCAGAGGGTAAGGAGGTTCAGAGTGACTGATGGAGAACTGGCTACAACCAGTCAACCCCCTTCACACTGAGATGCGTTCAAAGGGTGTGGTGTCTGAGTCTAGGAAGGACTTTGGAACCTACAGATTTGACAAAAATCCAAGCCTTTTCTTGCCAGATCTTTACACACTCATCTGGGGAAGAGTATAACATTTGGGAGAACCCAGGGGGTTGAAATAGTGGATATTGGATTTGGTTCAGAGGTCACACTCACACAGATGAGTATGGGGCACTGATTTCATATCTGTTGGTAGTTGTGCACAATGTCACTTCGGTTTGCTAGCCCTTCTAAAAGTCATACTCAGAGGCCATTAAGCCAGTTCACTACAACCCAGATCCAGGAGAGGAAGATAATAACATACAGCTTTCAAAGACTATCCCATTCTCAGCTGAACTCCAACACAAGTGTAAGTAAAACTTGGGAATGGCTAAGAGAGAAAGTTTTAAACTTGAGAAAGGTAGATTATCATTGTAATGATAATGGTGGTAGTAGTAGCTGCAGGAGCAGCAGGATTAAAAGCAGGATCATTTACGAGGAAAAGCCCAAGAGAGAAAAGTATGAGTCAGAAGTAATGATCCCTACAGTTGGGAGCCTGAAGTCCTTCCTCACAGGCTACAAAATTACCCAACCCTGAGTCTCTGGCTTTCCCAGGGCCAGCCTGGAAAACATTTGCTCATGTAATACCCAGTGAGCCAACTACAATACTTAGGGTGAGGAACAGACCTAAACTGAGTTTGCAATGTATACTTATAAAAAACGAGTAGCCCTTCCCACACCCCACCCCCTCACATCATCCTTTACCCAACTCAGCAAGCATGGCTCTTCTCGACTCACCAAAATGTAAAACAAACAAACAAACCCCTCTGGGTCTTTTTAAAAACCCACCATGTATCTTTCTCTTGATAAAGGCAAAGTGGTAGAAAATGAGTTAACAACCCTCTGAACAACATTTTTGGCACAGGCCTGGTGTTTTTCTTAATTGACCAGCCCATCATTTCTGTTTCTCTTTCATGTACAAGTAGTCAGTAAAGTTTATCCCTTAAAAAGTTCCTTATTCTGAATGGTGAGGCTAGGTAATACAATACTCCTCCTTGAAGATCTATTCTCTTCCTCCCTCAACCCTCACAGCCCCTTCCAGAGACCTCCCTGTGGGAAATTAATAAGCTTAGGAAGGAGCTGCCACTGTCTGCTCCATTGGCATCCTCTTATCTTCCAGTGTGTGGGTTTTTTCCCCCCCTTTCACCATGAATTGCCATACTCTTTTGACAATCAAGCCTTTGCTGGCATAGTGCTTTGGCAATAGAGTTAGAGGTGGGTAAGCCAGGACCTAGAAAGATATAGAAAAAGAAAATCAGTGTGTTTTCATTCTCATGGGATAATAATCTTTACGTGAATTATTCTTGGAGATGTTACCTGCCTCTTATCACAGAAGTTGAAATATTTTGGGCTCCATTTTTGAACCCTGGGAAGAGAAAGAGTGTTCCCATTCTAATACTCCCTAAGAATTAAAATTCCCTTTCTTACCCTTTCTCCACCCTCTCACTTAGGTCATAAAAGCCACCTGGGGTGTCATTTATCAACCTCTCTCCAGCCCACTCTTCCAAAATAACACTACAGTTTCCTACATGTGTATTTTTGCCAGGACTCCAAAGAGCCTTGCTAAAGTGGAACAAGGTGAGCATACCCACTCTTCATTGTCATTCTTCTAATTACTTAATTGGAAATAAAATCCTAGGGAAGAGAGCTCCAAATATATGCATAAACCCATTGTTCCATATGAATTACATAAAACTATTGACTAGGTACACTTTTATAGTACTGTCTGAGGCTGAATAAATGCCTCAACCCTTCATTTAGTATCAGTGAATTCCAGTAAGTATTAATGCAGAGTGATTTCAAAGTAGTTTATGTACCATTTTAGCCCATAAATTTCTACAGAAATAAAAATAATTTGTAGATTTTCTTTATCCCCTATTAATTATTGTCATTTAGGACATTTATATTACCAAGCAAAATGTGTACCACTTAAATTACTAGAAAACTCTTCAAGTAAGAATTTCGACTTAATCTTACTTATATTGTTTTGTTATGTCAGTTATTTAACTCATAATAAAAAGGGTAGGTCAGATTCATAAAATGTGAGAAATTCTTATATTTAAGGATCTCTACCTGAAAGCAGTAGGAAAAAAATTAATTAGAGGGCAAAAAAGTGAAACTGAAATGAAGCATCTGTTGGCCAGATTCTCAATAAATTGCTCCCTTCTCAGATGTATAAAATTGTCGCTGTTTTCTAGCTTAAGACATAAAAAGGTCAAGCTGTTCCACCCTCAACTTAAGTACCAAAAACATTATTTTATACAAACTGGAGTCAAGGTTTTAGTACCTCAAAAGAAATATAGTTTAAATGGTCTCTGTATTTAATAAGAGAAAGGCCAGGCACAAGAAAAATGCCTTCCATTTAGAGTTTATTTTCTAAATGTCCACATTCTGGAGTAGAGGCTTACATATTTACAATATGTAAGATAATTTTTTAATGGTTTGCATGGACAGATGACTTTTCCTGAAAGATAAAATTCCAATTCTCTAAATAACAGCAAAAGAAAGCATTAAGGAGTGTTCTGTTAGACAGATTAATGAAATTATGTTCTTAAACACTGCTCCTCACACACCATATTGCATTTATCAGTCTAGTTTCTAAGGGACCACATGACTCTCTTATGGCTACTTTTCTTTCTTAACTTGAAGTTGTTTACACCCGTGCCTCTTCTGCTCTTTATTTTTCTTCTTTCTTCTACTCTGAATTAACTTAAGTTTCTGGCCACTATTCTTCAAACCTGAGGTTTATTTTCCAGATGTTTGAGACATTATTTTCACATTTCTAATGCTTCCACCCATTCTTTAAAGAAGTATTAGGGGACCATGTGTCCATACTTTGTGTGTGTGTGTGTGTGTGTGTTTGTGTGTGTGTAGAGAGAGAGAGAGACTGAGAAGTGAATCTAGTATTCAATGGAGCAATCAGTCAGAAGACAATTGGTAGCTCAGTATAGCTGCAGATTCTTACATACAGGCATGTGAGAGAGCCCTCATTGCACTGAGCCTTGGTCATTAGGAGCCAACCTTAGCCGAAGTAGATAAAATTGCACATAGCCAAAGTACATAAAACTGCACTTCAAGAAGCTTTCTTTGAAAAGTCAGTAGCTAACCTGAAAACTAAGGGATTCCCCATTTTCTCTGAATATATGGGGATTTTGCAGCCCTTCCTTCTGTGAATTTCAGCTTAATTCTAGGCAGCAATTCGGAATTTGCCTGGGGTACTAACCAGAAAAGAGAAGGAAATACACACACACACACACACACACACACAGAGAGAGAGAGAGAGAGAGAGAGAGAGAGAACAAGGAAGAACATGAACTTCATGGGAAAGTCCTTGCACTTGTTTCTCCTCAGCAAAATCCTCCCCTGGCCTCCTGGGACTGCAGTCACCAGGCTGTCAAAGCCTCAATACCCCACTGAGTTCCAGAGAAGGGTCTCAAAGCTGGGAGAGGATCAAACTAACATGGTAAGCTGCTCTTTGCCAACTCCCCAAATACATTATTTCAACACTAGGAAAAACAACAACGAGGCTGTCTCCTTACGTTGTGGTTCTGCCTCCTCCACTTTAGCTAGCTACACAATCCGATTTATCCTAATGCTGACAGATTGCCCACTTCAAAGTAGTGGTGGTGTGTGTGGGGCTGAAGGAGTTGAGAAACTGTCTATACCACTCAAAGGCCTTTCTTCCTTTAGGAGTAGAGAATTGAACTGTGAAAAAGAAGCCCGAGATTCCCCAGCGACGTGGTGTTGCAGCCCCGTTGAAGGAGTCAACTTGCAGGCTGTTAAAGACCTCAAGTCATTAGCATCAGCTGCTGCACTAAAGGGGCAAGTCAGCGCCTCTAAGTGGCTTAGCGCACAAACGAGGCTCCCGAGACGGCCTCGGCAACTCCATCCCCTCCTCCACCACCCGCTGGATGTGAAAAGCTTTCCGGAGCCCATCTTGGTAATCATTTTTATTTTTAATCACCCTTGCCCCCCAACCCCAAGACCTCAGAGTGCCAACAGTACCCATTATAGACTCCCTCTGGGGCTGCGCAGAACGCACCAAGCAGAGGGGGGGAAAAACCCCACGAAAACAAAAACAAACAAAAAAAAAACAGGAACTGTTTGAGTCCAGTAACCTGCGCTCTTCCCACCAACCTCCCACACCCCACCTCCGCCCACGTACCCGTGTCCTGGGACTAGGAGGTACCGTTATGTCCCCTTCCGAGGTCTGGTGACATTCTCACTCCAACCTCATCTCCCAAGCCACGGGAAGGCTGAGCCAAGTTCTCACCAAAGCGCATCCTTTCTGAATTTTGCAGGGGGAAGCTTGGTAGTGTTGGCGCTCCTGAAGAGAGACGACGCCCGTTTATCACCCCCAGGCAACTAGCTGCGCAAATCAGCGGTGGCTCCAGGGCTAGAGAATCCCTGGAGCTAACCGCACCCCTCTCCCTTTCACGGAACGCGGACTCCGGGGAAATACGCACGGGGTCCGCACGCGCTGGGTGTCCAGCTCTCTGTCACAGCTTCTCCAAGTGCCTAGTGAAACGGGGAAAGGCCCTCTCCAATCATTTTGGTACCTTCCTTTCCAATCCTGAAACGATTTTCCCCTCCTAGCAGTCCCAGAGGGCCCGAGCTTTAGGAGGAGGCGGGCCGGGACGCTCTCTGAGAGGCGTTGCCACCCGGGGTAGGCGCTCAGGATCTGCGGGGCGCGGGCAGGCCGGGGGAAAAAGCTGCGAGGCAGGCGGCGCCGGAGGGAGCGCCTGGCCCAGCAAAGAGTTAAAGGGAGGGGACGTGGGCTGTCACGCGTCATTGGGCAGATTATGTGCAGCAAACAAAAAGTGTGTGTCTGCGTGCCAGTCAGTCACTGCATCGGGTCCATCTGTACAACTCTCTCCGTTTCTCCGTCTCTCTCCCTCCCTCCCTCCCTCCACCCCCCCAATCTTTTTCTCCCCATCTCTCCATCTCTCTCTTATCTCTTCAGGAAGAGCCTAAAAGGCGGCAACACCAACACCTCTTGACATGGAAATACACTGATACAATAGGCAAAAGGAAACACTCGATTGCATCTTCCCGGTTCCAGGTGGCCTTATTTGGGAGATTCTATACTGACCTTATTCCTGGTAAGTCTATTTGCATTGATGTGGGAGGGGGATGGGAGGAAGACAGTTTGGTGGAAAGAGTAGAACATTTTGTCTTCCGTCTCCTTATTATCCAGAAGAGAGAGAAAAATAATTCTTGAGGGGCTGTCTACTGCCAGTAATATTGTACAAAAGGAGGAGCGGGTGGTGAGCACTTTGCCGGAGAAGCCGGAGACTGGGGAGCGCGCGGCCGCCAGACAATGCCTGCCTAGAGGGACGGGCCAGTGGCGGGCAGCAGCGACCGGCTTTCAGAAAGCCCCGCCGGCTCTGGGGTATATTCCCAGGGCAGGCGGATAAGAACCTGGGCCTAGAGCGGGGCACGGAGCTGTGAAACGTTGCGTGGCAAAGGCGACCGCACGCGGGCGGGCGCTCCTAGGCTCTTGCCCAGCGGTTATTGTGATGGGCTTGAGGCTCGTGGCGCCTGGCGCTGCGACTCCGACCGCTATTAGCGCGGCGTAGTGAGGACCTTTTTGCCGTATTGTTAGGTAGAACTGCATTTTAATGACTGTGTCCCTGCTGTTGCCCGAAGTGACGGGGCGACCTCCCGGCACAATGAAATGCTTGTGTGAAAGAGATTTTTAAAAGGAAGAGAGAAATTGGGGAATAAAACGCTGAATTGAAGGAAATTGAAAAGAGGAGAATAGGATTCCGTTGAAAAGGAGATAAGAGGTTATGGGGTTTTTAAAATGTATTTTAATTTGAAATGAAAAAATCAGGATGTCTACCTTGTATGGGGTAAAAATGACCAGGGATAGATGATGCAGAATAAAAAAGTTTCTACTTTATGGATATTTTCCCTTATTTCTGCTGTCTGGGAGATACAGCCCAACACTTGACATTTGGGGGATGCAAGAGGATGAATGGAAAATGAGGCTAACCAAAGTTTTAGGCTATGTTAGCTGGAATGGGGGGAAAAAAGCACACCTTGTAATCACACGTGTAAGGTTAACTGGTTAATATAAATTAAAATAAAAATAGATGTCACTGACATTATTCCATAATGAACAGCTTTGCAGGAAAAGAATTAGATCTACTCTTTCCTGCTACTTTAATTATATAAAACATACATAAATAATTGCCAACAGTGACATTATTAGGGAACAACAAACTTGGAGGAATATTTTGATTAGTCTGAAATACTAAGCAATGCAGCTAGTTCAAAGCTAGTTTAAAAATTTAAATACCTGGGTTTTTTTGGGTTTTTTTTTTTTTGTTTTTTTTTTTTTTTTTTTTTTTTAGTGATAAGTCTTGTATGGGGTGTCCAGAGGAAGGAAAATGTCCCTTTATGACACCTTAATAAAGGGCATTGGGGCATTACTTTCTAAATTGCTGCGGATTAAACAGCTGGGGAGCCCACTGAGGAGTGCTCAAGCAGGGCTGCCCCCTCTTGCCCAAAAAGGGTCATATGGGGTAGGGGGAGTGAAAATTTACCAGTCATTACACACAGTATTTCAGACTGGGGACACTTTAGGCCTGTCCTGTACCTGCTCACTTCATGAGCCACATGTGACTCAATCCACCCCCTTGTATAACAAGGTAACCGGGATTCACTCTCATCCATAAATAAGCACGTCCAGAAAAAAAAATTACCTCTGCTTGCTGCTTTTAATTAAAGCCTCAGAGGAACAGTGTTGGATTATGGTAATGAGCAGACATACGTCCCTTCTTGTAGGCTGCAGAGAAAGGTTAGCTGACACAGAATTAGTGGCCCTGACATTCCACTTGAAATCCATTCGCCATGCTCCGCTGTCTCCGCCTGCTCACTAACGCTGTTCCCCTCCTTGGAAGAAAAGAAAAAAATCAGCTCCCGGGCACCCAGTTCAATACATAGGCAGACAGGCACTTTCCCCCAAGGGTTAGAAGTTTCTTTCAGTAAGGGAAGTCTATAGGCTGGTTTAAAAAATTATATATATGTATATATATATATATGTGTGTGTGTGTGTGTGTGTGTGTGTGTACATATATATATAATTCTGCCTGGAACTTCACCTCTAAAACCTACCCAATCCAACATCAAGGTAATGCAAAAATTATCTAGTCTTTCCTAGCCCTTTCTTTTCTTTCTCCCAAGCAGTCAGCTCCAGATCTCCCACTATTCTAATTATTTTAACAAGTATCCCTTAGTTTTCATCTTTAAAATATGCCATGTTTATCTGCTTTAATTTTGAAATAAGAGCTATGCAAAAATCAGGCATGTGCAAGGAAAATCTACCTAGTATTTGGACAGTTCTGCTTGGGTTAATGGCGTTAAAAGCAGTAACATAACTCACTTTCTTGTGCTGTGTGTCTATCTCCAGTGATGGAGGATACTGGCATCCAGCGAGGCATCTGGGATGGAGATGCCAAGGCTGTCCAACAATGTCTGACAGATATTTTTACCAGCGTTTACACCACCTGCGACATCCCTGAGAATGCTATATTTGGTCCCTGTGTCCTGAGCCATACTTCCCTATATGACAGCATAGCTTTCATAGCTCTCAAGTCTACTGACAAGAGAACAGTACCGTATATCTTTCGGGTAAGTCTCCACTGTAGCTGTGTAGGTGTATGAGGGTAATGTCCTGTTGGAAATGGACTAAAAATAATTATAATGACAAGTGGAGATAGGTTTTGCCTGTGGAAAAATGCAATAATGCAAGCAATCCCATTTCACACATCAAAAATTAGAAAAGGAAAATTAAACTCAAATTATTGTCAACTGATTTTTTGGAATAAATGACAAAATTTGATTTGGAATGTTAGAAATATCTAAATCAGTGCTTCAGTTCTGGATTATCCTGGTGATGAACACGACTTCCTAAACTCTGGGAGATTTCACTGGGGTGGAGGCTATTTGCATACTAACTAGTTTCTGCAAGTTCTTTGACAAGTATTGGGTACATCTGCCTTCCATTTGAGGAGGCTTCTTCATCCCCTAAAGATTAGTTTCTTTGGTAATATTAGCTAGTGCCCAGAGTTTGTATTTAAATAAAAATGTTTATGGTTTTGACAGTAAAGCATCATCAAATCCATATGTCTGAATTGGAAGATTCAGACCTCTCATTTCCTATTCTTCTTTACAAAGAAAATCTATTAATTGTTCTAGCCAAGATTAGGAACATGATTGCCATAGCATAATTTCTAAGATCTAAGCTTGCTTTATTTCTGAAACAAACAAAATTCTCCATACCTTTGTAATGTGGAATAACTTAGAAGTAAACTCTCAAGGGGTTAACACTAAATTATAAGAAGAAATTTCCTCATTTAGTATTCAACCAATATATAAAAACGGTGACTTAAATAAACTATATGATTGATGCAGTGTTTCAAAGAATGGTTATCTTGCCTAATGGTTACAAACATGAGGACAGGTCCCAGCTTGGGCCAAACTTTTGGAAGCGTGGTCTCAGACAATTTTTGGAAAAGACTAACATAGAAGAAATGGTCTTGATTCTTCTGATTTCATTCCCTCATGAGGGTCCCTCTCCCCCTCTCCTTCTTGTCTTCTTTCATTTATTTCAAACCGCAGGTAGACACCTCAGCAGCAAATGGTTCCTCAGAAGGTCTCATGTGGCTGCGGTTGGTCCAATCGGCCAGAGATAAGGAAGAGCAGAACCTTGAAGCCTACATAAAAAACGGACAGCTGTTCTACCGCTCTCTCCGCAGGATTGCCAAAGACGAGGAGTTACTAGTTTGGTACGGGAAAGAACTGACTGAGTTACTCTTGCTCTGCCCCTCTAGATCCCACAACAAAATGAATGGTAGGTTGGCTCGCGACCGGCGTGTGGGCCCTTAACTAGCGGGGGAGAGACGCAGGGAGCGGCAGGGGCTCACCCGGCGCGTTGGCGCGCCTTTCTTCCCTTCGGGTGTCTCATAGGAAGATTCTGAGATGTAGTCTGGAATGAAGTTAAACAGATAGGTGAGGATAAAGCGAGGAAACTTGCTTGTTTGCTGTATTCCCTCCAAATCAGGAGGGAAAGTTAGATCAGGTTGGTCATTCTTTTCTCAGGCACTCAGGCCCTGAGAAATGAAGGTGGATTTGTCAAGGGGATGGTGGCAAACTGGCTTGGGGGCGATGCTGAGTAATCATGTGGTGTGCGTGTGTGTGTGTGTGTGCGTGCGTGCGTGTGTGTGGTGTTTGCTCACTAAGCAGGGTCGTCCCCTTACACATGCCTGGAATGCAGCCAACGTTTCCAGTTTGAGTTCCCCTATGTGGCGCATCTGCGTTTCCGCTGCCCCAAGAGACTTCACAGCGCTGATATAAGTCCCCAAGACGAACAAGGCGGCGGCGTGGGCACCAAGGACCACGGGGGCGGCGGCGGCGGTGGCAAAGACCAGCAGCAGCAGCAGCAGGAGGCACCTTTAGGCCCGGGTCCCAAGTTTTGCAAAGCCGGCCCCCTCCACCACTACCCATCCCCCTCCCCGGAAAGCAGCAACCCATCCGCTGCCGCCGGCGGCAGCAGCGCGAAGCCATCCACAGACTTCCACAACCTGGCCAGGGAGCTGGAAAACTCCCGGGGAGGCAGCAGCTGCTCCCCAGCCCAGAGCCTCAGCAGCGGTAGCGGCAGCGGCGGCGGCGGCGGCCACCAGGAGGCGGAGCTGAGTCCCGACGGCATCGCCACGGGCGGCGGCAAAGGAAAGAGGAAATTCCCGGAGGAGGCGGCGGAGGGCGGCGGTGGCGCTGGTCTGGTAGGGGGCCGGGGCCGCTTCGTAGAGCGGCCCCTCCCGGCCTCCAAGGAGGATCTGGTGTGCACACCGCAGCAGTACCGAGCCTCGGGCAGCTACTTCGGCCTGGAAGAGAACGGCCGCCTCTTCGCGCCGCCAAGTCCCGAGACGGGCGAGGCGAAGCGCAGCGCCTTCGTGGAGGTGAAGAAGGCTGCCCGCGCGGCCAGCCTGCAGGAGGAGGGGACAGCCGACGGCGCGGGAGTCGCCTCCGAGGACCAGGACGCTGGCGGCGGCGGCGGCTCCTCCACGCCCGCGGCCGCGTCACCGGTGGGCGCCGAGAAGCTGCTGGCCCCGCGGCCTGGGGGCCCGCTGCCCAGCCGGCTCGAGGGCGGCAGTCCTGCGAGGGGCAGCGCCTTCACTTCGGTGCCGCAGCTGGGCAGCGCGGGCAGCACCAGCGGTGGGGGCGGAACGGGCGCCGGGGCCGCAGGCGGCGCGGGCGGGGGCCAGGGCGCCGCGTCGGACGAGCGCAAAAGCGCCTTCTCGCAGCCAGCACGCTCTTTCTCGCAGCTGTCCCCGCTGGTGCTGGGCCAGAAGCTGGGCGCGCTCGAGCCATGCCACCCCGCCGACGGCGTGGGCCCCACCAGACTCTATCCCGCCGCCGCGGACCCTCTAGCGGTGAAGCTCCAGGGGGCCGCGGACCTGAACGGAGGTTGCGGGTCCCTGCCGAGCGGCGGCGGCGGCCTGCCTAAGCAGAGCCCCTTCCTGTACGCCACCGCCTTCTGGCCCAAGAGCTCCGCTGCCGCTGCAGCCGCGGCTGCGGCGGCGGCCGCGGGGCCCTTGCAGCTGCAGCTGCCCTCGGCGCTCACGCTGCTGCCGCCCTCCTTCACCTCGCTGTGTCTGCCCGCGCAGAACTGGTGCGCCAAGTGCAATGCCTCCTTCCGCATGACCTCCGACCTGGTGTACCATATGAGGTCGCACCACAAAAAGGAGTATGCGATGGAGCCCTTGGTGAAGCGGCGGCGAGAGGAGAAACTCAAGTGCCCCATCTGCAATGAGTCCTTCAGGGAGCGCCACCACCTCTCCAGGCACATGACCTCGCATAATTGACTCGGAAAGGACCCCAGCTTTCCACGCGCGCGCAAGCACAGTTAAGCCACCTGCAGGAATAAACACGCGAGAACATCCACCGCTTCCTTGCACCCCGAAACCCTGCACAAAGACACATACATTCACCGCCCCCCCGCCCCCCCAACGCGCACACACACGTCCTCTCCTCCCAGGAACCTCATTCAAATATTTACCCGGGACACACACCCCCCCCCACACACACACACAGACACACTCACACACAAGAGCCAGGATGGTGGAGTTTTGATTGGGTGGGTTGTTTGAGGGGGTTTTCTTTTGAATGCACGCATTTTCACTTTCCCCAAAACAAAGGTACATTTTTTAAAATGTCATATATTGCAACATATTGATGCATTTGTCATACGTTTCTACTTAAATTATTAAGCACTTACGATTTAGATGTAATAATTATATGTAAGGGCAAAATTTATTTTAGATATAAAGTAAAGGAGGAGGGTGAGATGCTTTCTGCATTTCTTGATGACAGTTTGTGTTCCTACAAAAATAAACAAAATGAATAAAAAGGGATCACCATTCAATTTGAGTTTCCAGGGGGAAGTGCATGTATAATGAAATGATAATGGACTTCAATGAAGAATGTCATCAATTATGTACATATGTATTTTCTTTTAATACAAAGTGTAATTTTGTGCCAGTGAAATGGAGTCTGAATAGTTATGTGTTTCTTTTATCCCTGGAAATATTTATTAAACTTTATAGTTTATCCGAGTATGTTGGATGCTTTGACAATAAATGACTATTTTCTTCAAAGCAAATATTTGGAAAGTTTTTAAATTTTATCGTTGTAGTTAAGGACTATACTTTGAGTAAATGTCACTTATTTTCACTGAGTTCCTGAAAAGAAGGGAAGAAACAGCATAAGAGAGAATGATAAACCTGGCACCATTTGCATTTATGTACTCTAAGCCAATTTTGAGCCTAAAAGAAGATAAGTTTTTATTATCACTTCGAAAATATTTAGCTGGAAAGTGTTGTGCATCTTGATCAAAGACAAATCATTTAGACAAAGATGCCTGCCATGCAGCTAACCTGTCACTGGGACACCAGCATTCTTTTCAGCAGCAGGATAATTAGCATCTTCACAAATGGTCTGAGACAAACAATGTTCAGGCTGGGATCTGTGAGACCAGATGAAAAGCCCACTTTAGGTTCTACTAGTGATGGCTAAATAGAAGGGTATCTTGTACTCTAATGTCATTACAATGGCATTCTGTCATAAGCTATTTAGAGATCCTGTGGGGAGTTTCCCTAAAAACCAAGGTGGAATGACCGTGGTTTGATCATGGTCTATGTATTGCAAGGCCCATCTTTCCTTCTAAAGGCATGGACAACTGTATAGCCTCTGCAAAAAACGCGTCCTGAAACATTACAATGCAGAAAAACCTGACGATTGCCCTCCTCTTTCTACTCTTCCCTTTATGAAAAGTACTTCTGTACTCTTTACATACTGATAACTAATTAAATATTGAGTGTAGAAAGTCTAGGTGTATGTGATACGACCAGTAACCATTAGACATAAAACCAAATGAACGATAATTCTTTAGGCCTTAGGATAGCATGCACTTAATCCACAGGCATCTTCATAGTCACTCTGGAAACAGGCACTGCACTGGTTTAGCTATCACAGGAGTTGTCTCATTTTTTTTCTCCTTTCTTCACATCCTGAAGACTCTCCCCTGTATATGAAGGTGGAAGCTTGTGAAAAGGTCTGACATGGGAAGTGTATACAAGGTCTCATTACAGGCTTTGCAATGGTTTTCCCTAACAGGATATTAAAGCCTTCATTATTTTAGGACCTCTACAAAGCAAGTTATGATTAGGGCAGGGAGCAGGTTAAGAGTAGGTATAGAGCAAAATGATGTACCTATTGGGAATGTGACCTAGATTGCTAAAAAAGCAGGTGTGGTTCTTTAAGATCATCCAAATATATATATATATATATTTGCTACATTTCTTTGAGGCCTGCTCTCAGTTTTCCTAGGCAACATTTGGATGATCTGAAACACTAAACCCCAGCAAACTGTCTAAAATTCTAATTCTACCTCTGCTATTCACAACTAGCGTGACACTGCATCTTTGTTGACATAATTTGAATTACTTGCAGCTTGGTTTTCTCATCTGTAAAATAAGCAAAGCAGGTTCTACTATTTTTTAAAGTACTTCTAGCACTGGGAAATATTTTTTTTTTCCCTGATGAGTTAATCAGGCTCCAATTGAACACAAAGAGGTCTTTCTAGAGAAAGGTCAAGATTATGAAGGAAATTTGACGTGAGGAAGCAAATTGAAGTCAAATTTGGAGGCAAATTGCATCCACAGATCCTTAAATCACAATGTCTGATAGGCCGACTAAATTGTCCATGTCTGGGACACTAGATCTCTGGAGCAAAAATCTCTCAAAAACAAACAAACAAACAAGCAAACAAACACAGCTTATCCTAGGCCTTTCAAAAAAAAATCTTGAATGCCCTTTTCCTTTCTATCTGATCCTTCTGGAATCTCCTTTTCAGGAAAGCAGCTTTACTTTCCACTGAGGATTCAGACAGGGATGAAATGAGGTCTAGAAAAAGGTAAATATTGCTTTTTGATATTGACTTCGTTATAGGCTGGAATCATATTTTCTAAAGAGTACGTATAGACGCTTTGCCACGAGTAGACACTTGGTGAGCCTCCCCTGTGTTTTCTTTTGTACGGTCATTAACTTAATCATAGGATCAGGAAGAAAGCCGAGCCTTGGCTGAGCTACTGCCCAGGCGATCCAGGTAGGTGTGTTAGTGGCAGACAGTTTCGGGCTGGGTAGCTATGTTGTTCAATCTGTCCACAAGACCATTTTGGCGGGAAGTAGTAGAGGAAAGGTGCCCAAAGCTACTTTTGCCTTCAGCCAAGGCAAACTCAGAAATGTTTTATTTTAATGCTGCATTTTCAAGTTTCAGAAGTATTTCATAACCTTCTCCTGTGTCTGAACCTTCTCAGAGGGGAGTTTCTAGGATTTTATAACTTCATCCGTCTGCCAAAGTAGTTGAGGTCACTCACAGCTGAGGAGGAAATGAGGTCACAGGGTCATGCAAACATCAAGCCAAGTTGGTCCCACGACGTCCAGGGAGGTGGCCAGGCTTCCAGTGCCGGAACCGTAGGTCCTAAAGACGGGAAATTGAAAGCCAAGCGGTTGCTGCACCAGCATTTGTTGCATCCCAATCAGTGGAAGAATGTCCAGGACTGACCCTGCGCTTGGGGCTACAGAACTCCAGGCATGTCTGCCCAGAAGATTCCGACTCCCTGGCCTCATTTGCCTCTCTACTTCTCCGAGGCCTTTGTGAGTTGGGGCCACCTGTACTTCCCAGGATGTGCTTGCAGGGTACAGCTTACGCCCACAGGCATGTGGAAACCGGAAGGCCCGGGAAGGGACGCACACATGTCTCTTTCCAGGCCTTGGTGAGCCAAAATGGAAACCGGACGCTCTTCGGGAAAGTTCCCAAGGTCCCAGAGGCCCACTCATAAGCTCTGCGGCCGTCGACGCCCAAAGCCCCGCGTATTGCAGCCGCAGTCGTGCGCGGGCTAGTTGTAAGCACGGGTGTGCGGTGTAGGAGAGGGGGGTCTCTCTCCTGGGGTCCTCACTGCCGGGCTCCCAGCCCCTGCCCCGCGCTGCCTGTTCTTTAAGTTTGTTTTCTTAGGCGCCCTGCCCAGGGAACATGACCCTGAACGGGGACCCCTTGAACACCCAGGGCCAGTCACACTCAGAAAAGGGCTGGGAAACGCAGTTCTCCTCCTCCGCTCCAATTTCGAGGGCAGGATCTCCGAGGCAGCCTCTCCGCGCGGTCCGGCGCTTGCCATCTCTCTCCGTCGCCAGTCGGCCTGGACTTTCCTCCCCACTTCTAGGGCGGTGCAGCCTGCTCAGGTGCAGGAGAGCGTGCGCCACTCAAGCGCTGGGGCCAGAAGGGAGATGCAGCCAGGACGCGGAGCGCCGCGGAGGCTTGGAGTGCCACGAGCATCCTCAGGGAGGTGTTAAATTTTCTCTTTTCTTCTCCCTTTGCCCAATCCCGTGTCCTGGAATCAATTCTGCTCATTCTATGGTAGCTTCCCTCAGCTCCTCCTCACCTCCACACTTTTCCGTTTCTCAAGCGCTTCTGGAGCTTTTCGTCACCAAAGGAACTTTCTGGAAAAAAGTTCCTTTGGTGACTCTTCACCATCCACTAGGCAACTGACTGCTAAGGTGGCGGTACCAGTCCAGAGGGGGAATGTACTGCTGCGCTGTCAATTAGCTGGGCACTAGGATGACCCCAGCACCCAGGGATTGAAAGAGATGGGCAGGCGCCAACGCTCTCCCGCCCTCAAATGCACACACACTCCACACACCACACACACCACACACCACACACCCACACAAACACACCACATACACCACCCACACACTCCACACGCCACACACTCCACACCACACACACCACATACACCACATACACACCACGCACACACTCCACACACCACACACTCCACACCACACACACCACACACACACCACACACACACACCACACACACACACACCACACACACATCACATACCCACACCACACACACACCACATGCACACACCACACATACCACACCATACCATACACCCCACACCACACACCCCACACTCACCACATATACACACCACACATACTACACACACCACACCACACCACACCACACATATACACATACCACACACACCACACCACCACACATACACACCATGCCACACACATACACACACACCACATACGCACACCACACACGCACCACACACACCACACATCACATCACACGTACAGACACAACACACCACACATGCACACCACACATACACACCACACATATGCAACACACATACCACACACACAGCACACACACAGTACATACACCACACACTACACACATACACACACAACCACACACACCAGACCACACATACACTGTCCCCCGCAACACACACACACACACACACACACCCCCAGCTGCCTCCTGAACAGTTTCTCCCAGCTTGGAAATTTCATTTTTTTCCTGAAGGTGAAATATGACCTCAAAGGGGTGTAGAAAATTTAGCCTGCCCAAGAGCTAAACTGGGATTGGGGTGAGAAGGTGGGCCTTCTCACTCCCTTTTCCTCCTCCAAATGCATTTTATTTGACAGAAGGCCCAGAACGTTGAGGCAGTAACATATGCCTCAGGCTGGTGGGCCTGAATGATTGCCTTCTAGCTTTGTAAACTGGCTGGGCAGCAGCTGCGGAGCTCTTTGCCTCTGCTTCATGAATCATATTCCTAAGGCAACCTCTGCTTTTCCCACTTTAGATATGGAACTTAGAACGTTTTAGAAACCTGTATTCTCCAGGCCTAGTGAATAAAGAAACTGAAAAAAATTTAATTCTTTTATTTTAATCTTTAGGATTAGAGGTCTGGTACAGGTGTTCTGTTTGAATAGCTAACCTGGTTATGCTCATTATTATTTGCTTATCTCTTTTCAAGTTGTGTGTGAGCATTAGAATATAAATCTATGCATATGTGCAGGCATGTGCATATGTGTTCAAATATGTAAGTATATATTACAAACTGATACACATATTTATATATACAGACATACATAAACATTTTAATCCACACACAGGCACATAACTGGCAGGCGTTATTCTAAGTGCTTTTCATGTGTTTACTTGCTTTAATTCTCACAGCCTACCCAAGGGCTACTGAGAATCCCACTCCATCATGTTTCAGCATTGTGTAGTTAGTACGGTTGTCACTCTGAAACAGAAAGATGAGAATGTGATAATGTAATGAAAAAATAGTGACTCTTATGTCAGGAAACCGGTTCCAAATTTTGTGGCCTTTCCATTTATTTATCTTAGTTTCCTTTACTTGAACATGTGAATAATACCACCTGTGGGCTTATCACATAGCGGTGTCTTGAAAAGCAAATATAATTCTACATGTAGCAGCTTTTTGTACTATTGAATATGATTGACTCCCATGTTGGTAAAAGAGATATGCTTTTAGCCTCAACTTATCTTTCTCAGGTAGTCAAAATGCTCTCATACCTCTATAAGAAATCTTTTGTGACCTTGACTTACTTTAATGATCTTTTCTCATTTTTAACCAGAGGTGGGAGTAATCGCTGGTTTGATTTTGTGGTTGTTTATGTAATTACTCAGGATTTTACTCTGTGCCTCAAGCTTACAGGAGAGTCACTGAAAAAATGTTTGATACATAATATCATGTAAGCCTATAGGTTCATTCATGATATATATATATACACACACACACACACACACACACACTCCACACACACATGCACCCCACATAAAACTATATATATATATATATATATATACACAGTTATGTGTATATAACTATATATATATATTTTAGTTGGCTTAGCTGTAATAATCTTAAATTATAAATACAGCGTGTTCCTAGTGCTTAAAAATTGTAAGTCAGCCTAATGCTAAGGATGGAAAAGGCTATAAGAGGAGTTCTAGATATAATTTGCCATGCTGTAGAAAGTATGGTTACAATGCAGGAGAGAAGCTTATCCCTTTTCCTAGTTACTATGTAACAAATTGCACCTTACTTAGAAAGCTACACTGTGCTCAGTGCTTAATGAAGACAATGTTCCCTCTACAGATCAAAACGGATCCCTCACTCCAGCTCAAGCTTTTTCCTGTTTTTAAATGGATCTTTAAAAATAATGCATGACTTAAAAAATCATAAAGAACTCTAATGCTGCTAAAACATAGAGACTTGAAGAATGCATACAATATCTTGTTTTCCCAAATTATTTAGAGAATAAATTCTTTAAGTAAAAAATAAACAAGGAAGGAAGGGAGGGAGGGAGGGAGGGAGGAAGGAAGGAAGGAAGGAGAAGAGAAGAGGGACGGAGTAAAGAAAAGGAAGGAAGGATGGAAAGAAGGAAGAGAGAAATTGGGAAGAAAAATAATCATGGGATTAATTTATCTAACTTTTTGTCCCTTTACTTCTTTTCCCACAAATGTCCAGCCACCAATTCCAAATTCCTCTCATACTGTTTTTTTTTTTTTTTTGGCATTTTCTTTGGAGAAGAGCCTTACTGTGGGTTTCAGAGTAGAAATCCATAAATCAGTCCCACCGTTGACTAAGATCTCTTGTGCACACCTGCTTCGAGGATTAAAATCTGGACAGGCATACCATGATTGCACTTTTCTCTGAGGATTCATCTCTGGGTGGGTGTGTTGGTGTTATACTATTGCCTGTGCCACTTTTTCTGTGTTTTGTTATTTTTTTGTGAAGTGTGAAACTTTTTTTTTTTTTAAGCAATTGATGACTTTTTTCTCTCTCAAACAAATGAATAAAGTCCTGTTTTACACTCTGGCAAAATTTCACTGGGTCTTTGAGAAAGACAAACAGAGCCAAACAGTGACACCCAGCCCCCAAATGGATGCAAATCATGTAATTAGAAAAATTTTAGTATCCATAGTGTTCAGTTCTTCTTTAGGCTAAGAGGTCCAGCGTCAGGGCTAAGCGAAGGAGGAGGAAAGAAAATAAAGGAAATATTCCTGCAAGGTCCTTCCTAGAAAGATAAGAGTTAGCCTTCAGGAAGGAGTAAATTGACTTTTTCATTAAAATGCTTTTGTAGACAGTGCTAGTTTAACTATTTGCTTTAGCAGGGCTAGGTGGATAAATGGTGAATGCCATGAAGCTTATTTTCAGGGACATTCGATCTGCTCCCTAAATTCCATCTCAGAACCTCCCATTTTCAATCGTCTCTTACCTTTAGGCTCTCTTAGATTTCCCTGAGTTCTATCCCCTCCAACAAAGAGGTAGTATCCAAAATTGCCACCTGTGTGAATAAACAGCAAAAAAAAAAAAAAAAAAAAGTCTGAATTTACATGAAGGTATTTGCTTCTCCATTTGCTTTTTAAAGCTTAATTTCTAATTTTGGAGCAGTCTAAGTAAAGATGAAGGATCGATATGCAGAGGTACTTCTCCACCAGGGTAATAATGCCTAAAACTCCTTCCAAATCAGAGGTATTTGACTTTGAGGCTGCATCTGAAAGTATTTATTAAACCTCCAAACATGCCTAAACTTAAAGCCAGGGAGATATTTAGGAAACCTAACATTCAAAAATCTAATTCCAAGCATAGTAAAGCTAATAGCATGGTAAAACAAGTCTCATCAAGTTATATGATTGCCAGCAGCTCACATTTGAATTTCTTAAATCCTTTAAATATTCAAAATACATTTATTTATAACAACTCAGAAATAGAAACTTGGAATTTTAGATATATATATTTCTCATATATATATTTCAGATATATATATATATATATATATATATATATATATATATTCACAAGTTACTCTCTTCTCTGGGATGGGGGCTTTCCTTTGAATACATTTCAGGAGAAGAAATTTAAAGTTTAATGTACAATTTCTGAGTGCCTGTCATACTGGCTCTTTACAGCAGCCTGCTCGAAGACCCAGGCACATGGCCAAATAGAAAATCAGATAAGGATGCTAAAAAGAGGGGACCTCTGGCAATGACTTCCCCATGTTATTGACTCCATAAGAAAAGGCTCAAAAAGAAGATAATTTCCCCCAATCCTTCCATCCTCAGAAAATTTTATTATAAACCATAGATAATAAGAGCTCACAAGGAAAGAAAAAGTAATACTATCCATAGGACACTGTAGAGTTAGATCACACAGGGAGAGACCTTTCTAAATCACCAAGGTAGCTGTTAAAAATGCAGTTTCCCATAGGCACCCTCAGAGATTTGATGAATCTTATGTGGGACCTAGAATCTTGCATTTTCAGCAACCAGCACCAGATGATTTTAGAGTAGGTGGCTCTTGATCCTCACTTTTGAAACACCGAAGAGAGGTTAGAACTAGCCCTATGATGACTTAAATTAAAATGTAGGAGTACATCAGTCTAGAAAATAGCTATGTTCCAGAAATATGGACAGTAAATTGAATTATGTTGTTGTAAATACAGACTTTTAAAAAAACTTCATTTATGTTCTATCTTTGTTTCAGATTGATTTTCACATTTTACTCCTCCTTGCCCACTCAAGTTAGGGTCATTAGTAAGAACAAGAAAAATGTAATTGCATGAGCAAGTACCTATTCAAGAAAATGTTTAAGCTAAATCTTTATGGAAAATATAGTGTGCATCTACCATCACCCTCTGAGGAATTTGCTTTTTATTTTTTGGATTTTTTTTTTTTTTTGGGATGGAGGTTCACTCTTGTTGCCCAGGCTGGAGTGCAATGGTGCAAACTCAGCTTACTGCAACCTCCACCTCCCGGGTTCAAGCGATTCTCCTGCCTCAGCCTCCCAAGTAGCTGGAATTACAGGCGCCCGCCAAAACGCTGGGCTAATTTTTTGTATTTTTAGTAGAGACGGGGTTTCACCGTGTTGGCCAGGCTGGTCTTGAACTCCTGACCTCAGCTTATCCACCTGCCTTAGCCTCCCAAAGTGCTGGGAATTTTTTGGATTTTTACACATTCATTTTCTAAAATTGTTTCACAACTTATTTGTATGTGTGTGTTCACGAACCTCACCAATTCAGGCTCTGACATCAAGCTCCCAAGAGCTGTCTGAAGCTATGTTTTTCAAATGAATAATAACAGCAGAATTGAAAACTCTTGAGCTAACATTTTGCTCTCAACTCCAGCCTGCTAGTCAACTACTGCTGCTTCTCTGCCAGCTGATGACTGCACGGAGGCTGCCACTTTCTGATGGTGAGTGACTCTAGGCCTCAAGTGATTCAGACGCCACTGACTCTTGCTGCAGAAACTTTTGGTACTAGGGAAACAGACTCTTCCATTCACTTCACGTCACTTAACTTTCTACTGCAGTGTCCATTCACCTAGGACTCAGGCCTGAGTCTGAGGAGGTGGGGCCAAAGGAGCACCAGGTATAATGCAGTATTCACAATCACCCATCAGTTCTGATGTTGCTTATTATTTCCAAACACAATAAGGGCTCTTGGAATGCAACCCTTATATAAACATAGCTGTGATGATCCTGCCTTCTAGATGTGTCAGCACATGCCTGAAAGAAAGAGTAGGTGCCCTCTAATTCTGGGGCCACGGCTACACAGTTGCTAAATAAAGTCTAAAGTCCACACAGTTGCTTATAAGCACAAAGAATCCTGCTAAGAAATTAGATTAGAAGTCAGATTAAACATTTATTCTCATTCTGCCTCCACCATTCTCCAGCTGTGTAACCTTGAATGAACTAACTTCTCTAAACTCCAGTCTTCTCATCTGTAAATGAGAGAGTTAGATGAGATCAGAGATTCTCAGACTTCAGAATTTGTAATAATTACTAGGGAGAGTGGTAAATAGGCTTGGCTCTAATTTCTGGAGATTCAGAATGAGGGCAGCAGTGGCTAGGATACTGATTTTTTTTTTTTTTTAATAGGGACTCACTCTGTCACCTGGGCTAGAGGGCAATGGTGTGATCATAGCTCACTGCAGCCTCCAACTCCTGGGCTCAGGCAGTCCTCTGTCTCAGCCTCCCGAGTAGCTGGGACTACAAGTGCATGTCACTGTGCCTGGATAATTTTATTTTAAATTTGTATAGATGGGGTCTTGCTTTGTTACCTAGGCTGGTCTTGAACTCCTGGTTTCAAGCAATCTTCCGGCCTTGGCCTCCAGAAGTTCTGGGAATTACAGGAAAGAGCCACACTGCACCTGGCCTGTGATTTGCATTTTAATAAACCCTCTGGATGATTCTCTAACCACGTCTGGGAAATATTTGTCTAAATCAATGATTATTCATTGTGGTCCTATTAGAAACATTTAGAAAGTATTAAAAATATACTAGTGACTGGTCCCTCTCCAAATTAATTCATCATAATATCTGGGTATTTTGTCAGGGCATTGCTAGTGCCTCAAAAAAATCTTTGTGCATCAAGGGTCAAGAATCAGTGGATTAAATAATCTATAAGAACTTTTCTCAGCTTTTGAATTACAACTTCCAACCTAGCATTCTTGGTTCTATATCACAATACGTCGGTTATAAATGTGGAGTATGCTGTGTATGCAGACTTGCTAGTTATTATGAGCTGAATTATGCCCCTCCCCTCACCCAAGTTCATATGTTGAGGTCTTAACGCCCAACACCTTGGAATGTGACTGTATTTGGATTTAGGGCCTTTAAAATTAAGTTATTGGTTGGGTCCTAATCCAATAGGGCTGATGTCCTTATATGAAGGGTAGATTAGGACACAGATAACACAGACAGAGGGGCGACTATGTGAGGATACAGTAAGAAGGTGACCATTTGCAAGCCAAGGAGAGAGACCACGGAAGAAACCAAACCTGTCAACACTTTGTTCTTGGCCTTCTAGCCTCCGGAATTGTGAGGAAATGAATTTCTGTTGTTTAAGTCACCCAATATGTGGTATTTTGTTATGGCAGCCCTGAGAAACTAATACACTAGTCAAATAGTTCACTGAAACCTATCTTACTTTGAAGAAAATAATGTTCGTCTAATTAGTTCAGAAACAACATATCTCTAAGTATCGACATAAATACACTAAATTAAAGGCTTAACTATACAAAAATAAGTGATTTTGTAGTTTTTTCCCCCAAAGTCATGATTGAAAACAGGTTATGGAAATAAGTAATGCCTTTTAAAATATCATGATCTAACCTTGAGGATGATGTTTTAAATAAAAGGATTAAGAAAGAGCAGGACTAGAAATAATTTCAGTGCTTTTCACTACCAATAATGAATAGCAAACCCAATTTCAATTAAATCAACAAACAACTACCAAATGTTTAACGTTATCTGGTAAGATATAATGTAAATTTTAATTATGAACATATATGAAGCAGAATCTGTTATTTTAGTTTTGATGCCAGGTTTTTATAAAACCACCCTGTCTATTCCCCTCGTATATCCCAATTTCTTAAGTGTCTTCCTTAAGGTTTCCTCAATCTTAACTTTCATCGTATCTATTCAAAGTAAAAATACTAGAGATCCATTTAAAATCAGAGCCCGGGAAAGAACAAACTATTAAAGAAAAAGATATATTGCCACCTAGTGGAAGACAGGCGGAATCATCTTCTTGTAATTCAAGTTTTAAACCACAGAATGGTTAGTACAAGCAATGTTTTTAAATGGTTTTTGATAGTGTGTAATTATGCTTTGTTATTTAAAAGATGTCTTTCCTGTTTAGCTGCTAAATCACTTTTAACTTTTGAGTTATATATTTAGCAATCACTTAAAGGTATACGCTGCTGCTATATATATTGAGCAATAAAGTTGAACATAGTCTTTCTCAAAAACATTGAGCTAGAATGCTAAAAACACTTACAGGTAATTCTGAAAAATATTTACCACCCACAGAATGTCAGTAGTATGGTAAACAGCCAATGTAAACATAGCTGACCAAACATTGGTAAGTCACTTCTCTGGACCTGTTTCCTCATTTAAAACAATGGGGTTACACTATGTAATTTATAAAATATTTTCAATTCTAATATAATTAGATTAAGTAGTTATAATATACACTTATATTTATTATGTTTTAGGTCTCTGTAATAGTTAGGTGAGTGACCAAACTTGGTTTAGAAAGTAGTATTGGTGAATTATTTGGTGTGTGTCCTTGAAATAACATTTCAGCATAGAACTAAAAGAAGTTTATTAATGGGAAGGAACTTCCTATCTATTTATTTGGTTGCCAGGTTTCCAGAGTTTTTTTTTCCATGAGAGTAAGGTGACCTGGCTAATTTTAACTTCAGCAATTACACTCTATCCAGCTAAATTATCCTTGCAACTTTTATTTGAGTATAACATCGTTTATTGTTTCCTGTCCTAAACTTTTAGGAAGTTGTTATTAACTGATTTACTCTTGTTGACCTTTAACAAATACACAGGATGATATTAACTACTGGTAATTCTATAAGAGCCTTTCTTTCTATAGGCCAGGAAAGGAAAGGGGAGTTTAAAGATACTTCCCTTTTAGTTGCCCTTGGTATGTCCCAAGAATGTCACAATCCTTAATTAGTTAACCATATGATGTGCAGGACCTCTGAAAAGATTTTATTTCAGATGGTATAACGCAAGGAGCTTAAGTTATCAAATTGTTCTTGCTCCAATTGTTGGATACAATTTCCTTCTGTACAGTATTTAGAAGTGTCACCAAAAGACTTCCCTTTCAAACAGAATGAACTTAATGTGAAAATGTCAATAAGTCTAATAAAAATAAGGAAGCATGGTAAATTAGTAGGTGTCTTGAAATACTACCGAGAGGAAGTTTGCTATCAGCACTCAACTTTTAAATAATTAGTTGTGAGAAACTGCATATTATAATACATGATCATTAATAAAATAGAGTACTTAGAAAAAAATTGATATCAAACTTCTGTTTGAGGCTTTGTCCAGAGATAAGACACACAGGGAGGCTAATTATAATATTTCTAGTAACTTTTCTCACTTTTTCCTTCTATCCTATCACCACACACACACACAAAAAGAAAAGAAAACGAAAAAGACAAAAAAAGGTTAATTTTTCAGTTTACATTTATTCTGAATAAAGTTTGGAAAAATAAATTTGGAATGAAGTCCCAAATGTGAAGCTGGAAACTACCCGCCTTGTTAGAATATTTTAACTGCTTCTCTCAACTGCATTTTCTATACAAATTATATGGTCATCAGATTCAACTAGTTTGAGAAGTAAAAGTTTCCATTTATAATGTGAAATACTCTTTCTCCTGTCAGCTTGTGTAGCTGCCTCACATCACTTTCATTATCCGTGGCACCAGCCTTTTATATATTGTCTTCAAATTATTCAGGTAGGTAGCTTCAGCAATTTATATACATTTATATATATATATATATATATATATATATAAATGTATATAAACATGCAGTACCTCTTTTAAATATATATAAAATAATGCAGTACCTCTTTTAAATATATATTTATATATATTTTATATATATATAATTTGAAACAACAGTTGGATGTGACTAGAACAAATTGAAAGTAATCACACATGTCATTAGAGAAACAATTTCTGTAGGTTTCAAAACCCTCTTAGATTGACCTATGTCTTAAATTTCAACATAATTTAATATATCTGTTCCTTGAACAGATACATATGTCAACTGATTACCATTATCATTCTCTTTAAGATAGCATTATTTCCTTAAATTGTATTGGTAGCAGTACCAAATAACAAGCATAATGATGAGATGATGCCCTACCTAGTAATCTGTGTTGGTCTCTTTACTGTTGCTTATACCACAGTACCTGAAACTAGGTAATTGGTAAAGAAACGGAACTTATTTCTTACAGTTGTTGAGGCCGGGAAATCCGAGGTGGATGAGGCACATCTGGTGAGAGCTTCTTGCTGGTGGAGACTCTCTTTGGTGGGGCGTCACATGGTGAGGGGACTGAGCATGTTGATGTCCTTGCTCGGGTCTCTCTTTCTTTTCTTATAAGCCACCAGTTTCCCTATCATGATAACCCGCTAATCCATTAATCCATGAATAGATAAATCAATTCATGAAGGCAGAACCCTCATGAGTCAGTCACCGCCTCTCAGTACTGCCACATTGAAGACTGAGTCTCAACATGAGTTTTGAAGGGAACATTCAAACCATAGCATAACCTATAATTAAAATATTCCATTCCAGTTAAAGAAGGCATTCTAAGTGGAGACCTGTGGAATGGATACTTTAAAAGGTAACTTTGTTCTGACTTTATTATTTTTTTTTTCATTTTATTACTCAAATGCACATTCATTTGATACACATTTCAGGGAAGGTGAATTTAGAAAGTTAAAGGATCTTTGCCATGGTAAATGAGAAGAGATTTCTGAAGTTATACATGTTAAATTTCATGTATTTTCTGTGGCTTATAATAGTAAGAAGCTGTAGTGTAATGAAGTACTTTGGAAATGCTGCTGGTACTCAGAATTTGGAAAGTGTTAAGATGAAAAATGTCTAAGAAACATAGGCATACTAAAATGCTTTTTTTTTTCCTGGTAAAATATCAGTATGCTTAGGTATAAAATGTTTTATTAACCCTCAATTGTATTGTATGCACTTATAAACATGCATGATAATAAGCTTATTTATATTCAACCAAACATTTATTTGGCAAGCAGCCGAGGATATTCTAGTGTTCTAAAGTCAAAAAAATGCCTCAGAGATTCAAAGCCTTTTGTTTCTTTTTCAATATCCCAAAGCATAGCAATTCTTTGTCTTCTTTTTGCTGCATTCTAAAAGTATATTAATTGACAACCTACACAAGCCACCTGAAAGCTTTCTATATCTACATTAAAAGCAGATTCTTCATTTGGGAATTATATTTGATATCTTTAATATCTTTGTGTATTTGAGTGGATGTATTTGACTTCTAGGTAGACTGAGAAAAGTCACAAGTGGCAGTTTTTGTTTTGTTTGTTTTGTTTTCTTTTTAGTATAATACATTGGTGGGACAGAACTTGCTAAGTCGGAGTTCAGAATTATTGGTTAGGCAGCTAATAAAAATGATTATTCAGATATTGAGAGTCCTGATGGCTTAAGGAGTGACCACTGCCCTTCTTTGCCCCTCTAGACTGTCTTGGGAAGTAGAACAAAAACAGGTACAGTGGAGTCAGAAAGACCGTGGCACTCCCTGTACCATTCAGTGGTTGTGCTCTGTTGGAATGAGTGCTGTTGACAAGTCGCCTTACTTATCTGAATCTCAGTTTTCTTCCCGGTAAACTGGAATATTGACAACTATATATGGTTGTGGTAAAGATTAGAGATAAAATATGGAAGTCCAAGTCAAATGATAGGCTGATAGGCACTAGATATATTGAATATATTATTTTCATAATCCTCCTCTGTAGGTCTTTGTGAATCTTCCATTGCCTTGCGGTTTCTAAACTTTAGGGCTATAAACCCTTTTGTTTGTTTTGTGAATAAAAAGAGAGGTGTTTCCTGTGTTCTTTCTGTGCAGTAAAGAAGATGTTGGGAAACTATGAAAGGAGATGTCCTGGGATACAGCTTGTTCATTTTCATGAAACTGGTAGGTGGAAAATTAACTAAGACAAATCAACTTGGGATGTGAACCATGGGCTCCTCTACTCCTCAGAATAGAGTCCTTATTTTCCCCAAACATCTTGAGTAAAAACCCATTCCCCCAGACTCGTTTGGAATCTCAGCACTCAGGAGTTCCCTTCCCTGGTGGTCTGGTGGAGCCCAGGAATGCTGGCCTTTAGGGCACACAGCCAGACCTGTTTGCTCACTCATGCTTGGAGTGAGCAGCATGGGAGGTCCTGATAAGCTGGCTACTAAAGGATGCAAGATGCATTCTGAGCGGTTGTATCCACTAGTGAGACAAGTCGTCAAATGGTCACTAAGGAATCTGTATTCTAAAAGAATAAAGGCATATTATCCTATGAAAGCCCTAAAAATGATTCTATGTAAAATATTTTCAAATATCTATATGACTTTGGAGAAAAACCAGCTAATCCCTTAAAATAATCTTTCAGAGCTCTTCTTTTCTAAAGGACCTAGAATAATCAAAATCTAAGTAGCTATTAATAATGACAAAAAAACTCATGGTTTTGTAGTTTCTGTCTTACAACAGAGTGAAGTAAAAAAATCATGGAGAATAGGGTAAATTTTAATCCTTGTTTGATTCAGTCTCTGTCTGAATGAAGTTTGAAGTATGTATGAAAAGTAAATCAAAGTAATACTAAGCTTACACACCCCCATTTTATATTCATATTTCTCCAAGTAAGTATGGAGCTGAACTAGCAGAAGTTTTCAACAGTTACTGAAACCTCACTAATACTATAAAACGACAATATTTAGTTGGGGAAGATCTATAAAGTTCAGCTTCTAAAAAATTCCCTAACCTTATGACAATTTTCCTATGTTAGGAAGAGAATAAAATGATAGTTCAAGATGTTTCAGCATATTTCCACATGCTCTTTAGAACTTGCTTGGGATTTTTATGTTTAAATGAAAACATAGTTTGTGAAGATATTTCTCATTTTCTGTAATAAATATCATCTTACTTTTTATTTTACTCTTTGGAAAAGACAGCTATCTTTAAAAAAAACATAATTTATGATGCCTTTTAAGAGAAATTGCATCTTTATCTTAATGAAGATCTCTTCTATTTTTACTATTTCATTACACCGCCATAAATCAACATCTTGTTTTCAACGTGAGCTTTGTAAATAGATTTCCTTTAAGATCCTGAAGTGAGGAAGCAACTGGGGCTGGTTTATGGCACTTGTTCAGCAGCAGAGGATCTGGACTGCTGCAGAGGATTAATCTTATTTTAGAATTCGGGAAACCAGCATGTGCTGTCTGGTCAGTCTTGGAGAGGTGTGCCACAGACCAGCTATATGAAAGGCAAAAGAAATGAAACATCAGTCCCAGAAATGCATGTGCTGATGAGATTCCATCACTCATTTCTCAGGAATCTAATTTGTATCTGTCATAGGCCAATTGGAAATGCATTTTTGACCAATAAATATCATGCCATGTGTGAAAAGTAGTTTTTACAGTTTATCTTATTTTAAACATATTAGATCATATTAAGATAATTTGTGAAATCCTTTTGAAGCAATGATTTTTAAATTTGGAAAGCAATCCAAATAAATACATTATGTTACTAAGAGTGTTTTTAAAATATGTTATCCAGATTCTATGCCCTTAGCCATTTATATTTATAATAAAAACTTATATTTATTCAAACATGAAAAGAGCCTACTTTATCAGTGAAGCTAAGAGCCCACTAGAGGTCACTTTTTCAACTTATTTTCCTTAATAACTGAAAAATTCAACCTAGATTCTCATCACTGTGTCTTTCTTATATGTCCTTGTTCACAGAGTTAGAACTTTTATTTCCTTCCAGAAAAAAAAAATTCTGCTATTTCTCAAAGTTTTTTTTTCTAAAATCCTTCTAATAATACTCCTAAGAACTTTTTCTTATTTCCTGAGGTCACAATTAATTTTTTTTCCATTTTTTTTCAAGATGGGGGTCTCACTATGTTGTCCAGGCTAGAATGCATATAGGTATGATCATAGCACACTACAGGCTTGAACACAGGCTCGAGATCCTCCTGCTTCAGCCTCTGGAGTAGCTTGGGTTACAGGTGCACACCACCTCACCTAGCTTCCTGAGGTCACATATTCTTATTTTTTAAGTATAATTTCTATTGTGACATTTTAAATGACCTTCTTAAGTACCTAATGAAATCTATATTATTTTTGCTTACTTAAATGTTATTATTTGAATACTAGCAACGTCTATTTCCTAAAGTTTTAATGGACTTTACAATGTTATACTAGTATGAAAGAACCAGAGGATGTGCAGCCTTCTTAAGACTTAGAAGTATCCGTTTAATTTCTATTTCTTGCTGCAAACACCAGTACTGCTGAAAAATGCACAGCATTAACACCTGTTGAATTGAATCTCTGTTTTCATCATCTTTTCCCTGGTGATCCATTAGAGCTGTTTTGAACCACGTTTTAAAAAGCAATATTTCTAAAGTGTGAATGCCTGATGTACTTTACATAAATAAAGGACATTTTATCATTTTTTCCTTACATTTGAGGTTTTGACTAGCATGAAAATGTTCACAAGCTGCTATTACGTTGTTAGTTTCACTACTTGTGCATAAAAAGTAGCATTTCAAACATAGTCTTGCGTGTAAACTATTAGGCCATCTGGAATAAGGTTACGGGTGTCCTGGCTTCCTAAACGCCCACATATATTTCTTGTATCCATAACTACATTGATTCTAAAGTATTTTCTCAGTAATTTAAAAAATTTAACAAAATTGCCATTTTAAAACCCAGAAATAGTATGATATCTCATTTATCAATAGAATAGGGACATTAGTAGGAAAATCACATACAGAGGCTTATTCTTACCTTCCAAGGAATATCTATCGCTTTATGTCATTCATCTATCACTCACCTATCTAGATACACTATAACAAAGGCTACTTTAACATAATTTGTGCCACTTTTGGAAAGACCTTATTGAAGAATATATTTATTATCTGAAAAAAGAGTTAAAACATCAGATGGGCTTTAAATTGTTTTACAAATAATAACTAATTTTAACAGTGTTACCTGTTCAGACCTTGTGATAAACACTCACATTCAAATGTGTGTTCACTTAGAATATATATCATAGTATTTTGTTGTTTTGTGTACACAGGTATTTTAAATAAAAAGTAACACTGAACAACTTCTCGTATGTGTTTGGTTTTATTCAATAATAGATGTTGGAGATATCTACGTGTTGTTTCCTATACATCTCTCCCATTTTTTTTTTAACTACACATACTGTCCTTGAGAATGGATGTACCCATAGTTAACCCATTTTTCTAGTGAAGAACATTTAGTTTGTTTCTACTTTTTCCCTCTTACAAACAATGTGGCTGTGTATATCCTTGTATACATGATCAAGCATTTCTCTACAGTACATATTGTGATATAATTGCTAGATTATAAAGAAGAGGCATTTATTTTATTGATTCTGTCAAATAGCTCTCTCAAGTGGCTGCACCTAACAGTGCTTGTAGAATACTAGACAACCTACACCCTTACCAGCATTCAGTATAAAGCTTTAAATTTTTTATTTTCATGCTATCTCACATTTGAAATTGCATTTTCCTAGTTATTAGTACTAGTTAAGTTTATCTTCTTTTCTTATGTTTATTGAATATATGTATTTCTTCTGTGAATTGCTTATTCATGTTTTTGCACATTTTTTTCTATTGCAACATTTGCTTTTTCTTACTAATCCCTAATTTTAAAAGATTTTGAATATCGAAGACATTTGTTATATTCATGCAAATATTTTTCCAATCCATCTCTTGAGCTTTAATTTTGTTTATGACTTCTCTGCCCGAAAGAAGTTTTTATTTTGATAATGCCAGATATATAAATTCTTTCTCCTTTAATTTCAGTTTTGACATCTTGCTAAAGAAGGCTATCCCTATCTTCAAAACAAATGTACCTCTGATATTTTCCTCTAATTATTTTATAGTTATATTGTTATTGTTGTTTAGATCTTCAGATTTTCTGAGATGTATTTTCATGTGTGAGGTATGAATGTAACTTTATTCTTTTTCCCAAATGAATAGCAGATACTCCTGACACCATTTGATGAATAGTCCACATTTTATTACTAATTTAAAATTCTACTTTTATCATAATGTAAATTTCCTTATGTGCATAGAATCATTCCTGGGCATTTTACTATTAATTATTATTGTTCTATTAATAGTAGATATAATTACTGTAGTTTTTGTATTTCTGTGTAACCCTGTATTAAAAAAGTAATACCTGTTTTGGTAACTAGCAGATCAAACCCTTTCTTTTTCATTTTTATCCAAATTATCTTTGCTACTCTTTCTCATGTACTCTTTCATGCAATTTTAGAATCAGCTTGTTAAGTTACGAAAAAATTATATTGAAAGTGAGAATTACACTGTATTCACATATTAATCTTAGGGAGAAATTGCATACTGAGTCTTCTTATAAACAAATATAATGTATCTCTGAACTTATATGTCATATATGTTCTTCAGTTAACATGTTTTTCTGAGTCAGGCCTGGTCAGGTTTATTCCCAGTCATATTGTAGTTTTGTTGTTGTTGATTTTTTTTTTTTAATAAATAGAACCTTTTATTCTTTTTCCATTTCTTATGGTTGCTTGCATAAAGGCAAGCTACAGATTTTTAAAGACTGGTATTTCATCTGTCTACCTGAATGGATTAATTCTAATTGTTCATTCTAATAGTTTGATGGGTGATCCTCTTAGATAGTTCTTTTATGTCAGTGATCATATCATCAAATAATGATAGTTTTGTTTATTTATTCTTCAAATATAAGGCTCATTTAAACTTTCTGATTTATTGCATTAGGTAGGACCTTAAAAATGTTGAATAGAAGAAGTATTGGGCATCTGTGTCTTTTATTGATTTTCATGGGAAAATATTAATATCATTAAGATTTTGCTGAACTGTCATGACAATCACTGTTTATTAACTTAGAGAACACTGTATTAATTTTAAATTTGCATATAACAATAAAATATCATTCTTGTCAAACAGGATAATTACTATTTTGAAAGTGTCCAGTTATAATGGGTTATTTTGTTGCCTGGTACTCCAAATAAATTACATACGATATGAATTATTCTATTAGATATCTAATGTGAGTAAAGCTGGGACTAATCCTAAAAATATATTCAGATGCAGCTGAAACAGCTAACCTTTAGATTCTCTCTTAATTGAAATTCATTTTTCTAAGATTACTTGTTAATGAAATATATTGCAACAGATGTAAAGAATATACCACTGGTGTTGATTAAAATATCAAACGAAATGCACTTTTAAACTACATAATACTTTGTCTAATTTTTCCTGAGAAGACTAATGCTTAAGATTTAGTAACTAAAATAGGTAGTCCAATATTGATCTTGGCCTTGCTATAACGAATACTTCTAACCAGTGACACTATAGGGACTCTGTAATTTATTAAACAAACATTTATAGAATGCTCATTTTGTGCCAGGAATAGAAAATAAATAGTCACGAGTTGCTTAATGATGGAGATTAATTCTGAGAAATGCATTACTAGGCCATTTCGTCATTGTTGGAGCATTCCAGGGTACACTTACATCAACCTATATGGTACTACGCACCTAGGCTATGTGGTATAGCCTGTTGTTCCTAGGCTATAAACCCATACAGCATGTTACTGTACTGAATACTGCAAACAATTGTAACACAATGATGTTTGTGTGTCTAAACATAGAAAAGCTAAGGTATATGTTCTAAACATAGAAAAACTAATGTACTGTTGTATGACATTACAATGGCTGTGTCATCACTAGACGATAGGAATTTTTCAGCTGTATTATAATCTTATGGGACCACCATCATATATGCAGTCCATTGTTGATCTAAGCATTGTTATGTAGGGCATGACTGTATTGAATGTCAGAGGAAAATTATGCTTCTGAAAAGCTGAGGCGTTGGTTCAACAGTCATTTCCATGTTCTAGAAGTTGAAATAGGCATTTGTTTTACTTACCAGGCAAAATCTTAACCCAGGTTAAATCCAATTCCCCACTTATTACATGCCAGCACAAGCACAACCAAACATGTTTGGAAAAAAACATGCAACCACGATGACTGGTCTCACTGTAACTTCAGGACTATCAATCTCCTGTGGCTTCAGTGCTGCCCAGCAATCCTGTTATGTTTCTGTGTTTGATTCATATGCACATTGTCTCAGATAAACCATCTGCATCTGTGGTCATATATCCTGCTTTGTAGCTGTTCCTTTTGATTAATTATCTCTGCATCTCTCTGAGAACAAGCTCTCTAGATGTGTCCTCCTCTCATTCCCTTTTATTGACACAAGGACTTGCCACTGGAATTATTCTATTGCTCTTTAATCATCACATTTTCTCTCGCTCCTAGATTATTTCCATCAGCAAACAAAAATGTGGCACTATGTCCCTTCAAAAGTAAAAATTTTTAAAAATATTCCTTTGGCCCATATCCCCTTTTAAGTACTGTCCCATATCCCCGCTTTCTTTTACAACAAAACTCATTGAAATACTAGTTTTTACTTATTTCATCTTCCCACATGTTTTCTTGACTCCATTTCATAATGCTTTCTTCCACACCACTTCTCCGACACAGCTCTTGGCAAGGACACTATTGAATACCACATTGCAAAATCCAGTGTGTATTTCTCAGCCTTTAATTAACTTAAGCTACTGACAGTGCTATATGCTCTTTCTTCATGAAACATTTTCTTTTTCTTTTTCTTTTTTTTTTTAGTTGACAAGTAATGGGTTTTTCTTCCTTATGTTTTTGTGACATAAATGAACAAATCCACAAGGCATTCAAACCTGCTCATTGTTTCCTTAGGTTAAATTCCTAGCCGTGTATGGGTGCCTATCACAAGTGGCACTTGGAAGGCCATTTCCCACATATGAGTTGTGTTTCTGTTTCTATTAAAAAAGATTCCCTCATGAAACATATTCTTCTTTTGCCTTCTGGAATACCCCTCCCTGAGTACTCCTCTAACTTCACTCAACATTTTTCCGTTTCCTTTGTTGTTTTACTAATATTTTTATCTCCCTGAATTCTTAAGTGTTCCAGGGTTCCATCCTGCATCACATTTCTCCTATATCTCCATTTACTCATCTAGCCCCATTTTTTAAAAACATGTCCACAGATGGACAAATCCAGTTTGGATCTCTTCCCCAAAGTCCAGACACATGTGTATCCAACTCTTATTTGACATCTCACTCGGTTGTCTAATAGACAACTAAATTTAACATGATGCAAACATAATTCTTAAATTGCAGCTTTCTCTATCAAACACACTCTGCCAGTAGTTCTCATCACAATAAACATAAATTCTGTTCTCACAATTTCTTATGTCAAAACCTTGAAATTACTCTAGATTCCTCTATTTCTTTCCCACTCCCTGTATAATCCATCAATAAATTCTATTGATTCTGCTTCAAAATATATCAGAATATGATTCACATCTCACCATCTTTGCCATTACCAACCTGTCTGGTCCAAGCCATGATGATCTCAAGCTTTCATTATTATAAAAAACTTCTAATGTTTCTCCCTGCTGCCACCATATTCTGCCTTCAGTGACTTGATACGATTTAAATTTAAAATAGTTATTCTGTCAGCTGTGCTGAGAATAGGCTGTAGAAGTGGGCACGAATGAAATCAGTGTGACCAATTGCAAAATTCAGGTGAGAGATAATTGTAGCTCCACCTGGGCTAGTGATAGTGAAAGTAGTGTCAGTAGATGATTAAATTCTGGATACTTTTTATAATGGGAAATTTCAAACTTATACAAAAGTACAAAGAATAGAATAATAAACCCACATGCACCCACCTTCCAACTTCAATAATGATCTACTTATGACCAACTTTTTTTTTTAAATCTACGACTTCCCACTCCTTGCTTTACAAGATTATTTTGAAGCAAGTTCCGGACAGCAAATCATTTTATTCATAAATATTTCAATATGTAATCTTAAAAGATAAGGAACATTTTTAAAACAAAAATAGACTATCACATTTTTCAAGTAAGATTAAATTCTTAACATCATCAAGTATTAAATCAGTGTTCAAATTTCCTTTATTGCCTTATACTGTACTAACTTTTTAATTAGATTGAATTAATAACTAAATTATAATTGATTTGTAAGTCTCTTAAATCTTCAAAAATCTACAAATCTCCTTTTAGTTTTTTCCTTGCAATTTATTTTATAAAGAAACTGGGCTATTTGTCCTATGAAATTTCGTATATCCTGGATTTCTTCTGATTACATTATTATAGTGTCATTAAATCGTGTTCCTCTCTTAACTTTAGTTCCTGTTAATTGGCTGTTAAATATCTAGAGACTTGACCAGAATTCTTCATAGATGGTTTTTATGAACACCTATCAGCAGCCACATGTTTGGTTATCTCTTTTAGGAATGGTAATGACCATTTCTGGTTACTGCCTTGACCCAGTATTTCATTAGATATTTTAAAAATGGGGATTTTCTTCTTCTAACATTTTTTCTTCAATTATTAGCTGGAATATTTTTATTTTTTCTTCATTTACTCCAGAAAGTAGAGCCTGAGACAAAGACTTGGATGCTGATAATTTATTATAAAAAGTGATTCCAGGAAACAAGATTAGGAAGAATGAAAGAGGGAAGGAGAGAAAGCCAACAGAATGGTATGCTGTTGAGTTGGCCACCATTGTGGGCACCTGAGATACAATCTTACTGGATTTCCAGAGTACCTGTGTAGAATGTACTTCACACATTTCTTTTCAAGGACAGAAGAGGCAAATTTATCCTCTGGCTCTGGTCCTCCACTAGCCAGTGGCCAATTTATGGGATATTAACTTTTTTTTATTCTAGGTTGTGTATGTACTGAGTGCCAGGAAGATTTCAGCAAGTGTTCCACACTAAAGTGACTGAGTCTCCCCAGAGCAAACAGAAAGAGACTAGTGGTACAGCTGAGGCAATGTGTTTTTAGGTTACAGCTACCTGAAACAGTCCTAAGTAATGGCCAGAACAGAAAGTAAAGCAAGAGGTTATGAGGCAGTACAAAAAACTTGCATGAGAAGAAAATTTCCCCAATTAACTATTTGATCATTTTGAGGTACAGGAAAATAAAACTTGATCTCACATTCTTATTTTTACCAGTTTTCAAAATAATGAGTTGCTTTGCTAGCATCCTCTATAGATGACTGGCCAAGGTGTGTTACTGTGTGTGTGTGCTTCTTTGAGGTACCATAATAAACTGGTAATATAAACGTATTTGGTAGGTTTGAGTCCACTGTGTATATAATTCTTATTGATGAGAAATTACTATAAGTGTTCTCAATAGCTATGCCTTCAAGTTGGCTCCTAAGTCTTTAACGGTCTTTGACAGCTTCCTTGCACTCTGGTTTAACAACATAGCAGAATTTCTGCTCCAGACCTTCAATCAGCCATGTCTCTAAGGACATGGTTCTATTAATAAGGAATAGTATTTAGAGATTACTTTCTGGACACTAAAGATGGATATATTTTAAAAGCAGATGCAAAAGGATTTCCTGATTGGACATGGAGCATGAGCAAAAATAAGTGTAATACAAGATAGCTCCAAAGTTTCTAATTTGTTCAACTGGAAGAATAGAGCTGCCATCGAGTGAGAAGGGGCAGTTTTCAGGTCAAGCAGGTTTGGGAAGTGAAACTGGAGGTAAAATTTGTACGTGGTGAGTTTATAATTCTATTAAAAATTCAAGTGTGGATATGCAATTGGATATAGAAGCATGGATTGGATTCATGGGCATATAGGTAAATGTTGGGAACCATGAGAGTTGTTGAATTCATCAATAAAGAATATTTAATTAGAGATAAGATGAGGACCAATGATTAAGCCTTCAGATAGTCCTTATGACAAAAGTAAGAGGTTGGTGAAATAAGTCGGTACCAGAAAAGATAACTGGAAAGCAGTGTCTAGTGGCTTAGGAAGCAAACCAATGTGGTATCCTGGAAGCCAAGTGAAGAAGGTGCTTCCATGTGTAGGTAATGATCAATTGTGCCAGTGCTGCTGAAAAGGGAAGAAAAACCAGGACTGAGAATTGTTCATTATATTTAGCAAGTTGACATAATTAGGGATCTTACAAGTGGTTTCAGTGGTATTTTAGAAATGAAAGTAGAATTGGATTGAGCATAAGCTATATTTGCATACAAGCTGCTGGTCCCTCTATTCTGTTTCACTGATTCATTTATCTCTGCCTGGGCCATTACTGCACAGTCTTAATTACTACGTCTTAACAGTAAATCCCACTATCTAGTAGAGCAAATTCCTCTTCCTTACTCTTCAGAAGTATCTTAACTATTCTTAATCTATTAGTCAGCTATAGACATGTACATAGAAAATCCAAAAGAGTCCACAAATAATTGAATAGAATGAAAAGAAGAGTTTAGCAAAATGACTGGATTTCAGAGCAATATATAGAAAGTCAATTGTATTCCTACATACAAGCAGCAAAAGCTAGAAAATGTAATGAACAAAAAGACACTTTTATAATAATCAAAGTGAACATCAAGGAATATCAAATATCTGGAAAAAAGTATTTATGCAAGATCTCTAATAGGAAAATTATAAAACATTATCAAGAAATATAAGAGAAAGCCTAAACAAATAAAGAAATATATCATCCTTATAGAGAGGAAAATTTAGTGTTATACCGAAGCCAGTTCTTCTCACTATATTATATCAAGATTAATGGAGGAGAGAAGAGGACTAAGGTAGGGCTTCAGAGAAAAGTTGCACTTGGAGGAGGGAAGAAGCAGAGGAGTCAAGCAAGAATTTCTGGAAGATGCAAAGAGTCTTCTTCAAGGAGTATTATGAGAGAGTGCCTTGGCAAATAAGGATGAAGAACATTTCCAGAAAGATTGAATAGTCAATAAAACTTGATTATATCAAGGCTGGATTTAAAATGTTCAGATCTGGCAATTAGGAAGTCATCACTGAGTTTTGCGAGAAGAGTTGCAAGGAGAGAAGTGAATGGGTAGGAGGGAAGTGGAGACAGTGGACTTAGAAAATGAAAGAAAGGAGAGAAAGAGATGTTAGCCTGATGAGATACAATAGTCAATAGAAGATTTCAGAATAAAATGTTTATTTCTGGATTGAGAGATTTTAGCTTAAATACACAGAGAAAGAACATAGCAGACCAATAGAGACTATTTGTTGACCACAGGAAATAGTACAATAGGATGTTTATCTAAGCTTATTTTTCTTCAAACTGTCAGAAAATATCAATTTTCACTCATCCCTGTAAACCAATGAAATACATAAACTATAGTTTCTAGAAAGCTTATAATTTTAAATATAGCTGTAAGCTGTGTAATTTTGTTGGCTTTCCATGACATTGCTTTATGTTAAAATGCTTCTTTTAGAGTTTACAAATGCCTTCCTCACGTATTATCTCCTTCAAACCTCAGAACAACACAGTGAGTTAGTTTGGTTAAGTAACATTGCTGTATATTACAAATAAGGAAGCCTAAAATATTTTTTTATTTCAAAGTTCTAAAAAAGTTAATTTTCATGAAGTATTATAGCAGCAAACTAAGACTGCGTAACTTAGCCATAAATAACTATTGTGTTGCCAGTGTTCACAGCTGTGTTGCTGAGGACACAAGGAATGGATAAGTCAAAGGATAAGTATGTGCGACATCACTCGATCATGGCTAATTTGGCTCACCTGAATATTCTGAATGTCAACCAGACAGGATTGGGTCACAGGATATATAGCTGGGAAGTGAATGAGCAAGCAGAAATAATTATCAGTGTAACACAAGAAGCACCAGACTTAGAAGTTTGTTCCTGACTCCGTTTGAGAATTTAGGCAAGCAGTTCCCTCTGCCTTATTTTCCCACTGGACCATAAATGAAGAAATTATCGATGTTTTTAAAAATTATAGATGTTTTAACTTTTCCAGTTATATTTTGCATTGATTATAGGATTGAAAGGCTAGAGGGAAACCCAATTGACCAGTGTTCTTAGGAAATTAACATAATTGGTTTGGGCTGGTTTACAAAGAACAGATTTTAGAAATATAAATGAAAACATTGCAGGATGAGATAGTTACTTCAATTTTAAAAAAAGTAACAACACGATCAGGCTGTTTTAATATCATTCAATGAAATCAAAATGACTATAGCTATTATTCTAATTAACCCTAAGTTTTAAAACATTTCTGAGGTAACATGAATATGCACTCAAAATGAGTATCGTAAAATACCAAAAAGTATATACAAGTTTTACATTTTCTTTTGACTTTGATTTTTATATATTTTCATTTCAATTGTTATTCAAAACATTTAAAATTATATAATTATATCATCAATAATGCGGTTAATATCCTGTAGTTTTGTGACTCCTAATTTATCACCTAAGAAAGCTAAAACAGAATGAGCATATGAGTTTCCTTCTCCATGTTACTTGTGCACTTAACTTTTGAACTTTTTATTTCTATATTTTCATTCAGTCTCTCTAAAAAACATTTTTTTCTCTATTGTAGTGGAAAGAATATAATCTTTGCTGGAACCTGAACTGAGATTCAAAATCCTGCCACTTTACTAACAATGTGACTTCAGGAAATTTATTTAATCCGTAAGCTTCATTTTTCTTGTTCTCAAAATGACAATTATTACGTATACTTTATGAGCTGGTTGTGAGAAATTAGAAGAATAACATGAACAGTGTCCAGTACTCAGCAGGTGTTTAATACACAGTAGTGCTTTCTATCCTCCATTTACTTCTTCCTTAAACTTTTACTTGAGGATTTTAATTGTAGAACTGGTCCTGTGAAAAAGTGAAACAATTCATCTCCTCCAGCCCCAATTCTTTTCCCTTTCAGATATCAAGAGTCTTTTTCTCTAATAATCTCAAAATCTGTAAAGAGTTCTAAAATCTAGCCATTTTTATGTGCTTAATACAGATTTAGTTTCAGATTCCATTGAGCTTGCAGGGGACTTACAGGTAGATAATTTAGCCCATTTTACAGTGGAGGCAGTGAAGGGCTAGGAAATGTAAATAACTTTCCCAAATACACATGGTGACAGTGCTAGAACTTAATCACTCTTTTAAATATTAAGTCCACTGCTATTTGTATTACATCTCTTTTAGCATTTTGAGCTTCTTGGTAATTGTTGAATGATAAGCTTTGTGTTTTCTTAACAGAATTTGAGGTCCCTGTAAGTGAAAGGGTATTTCGGGTTACAGCTGAGAAATGGTGCAGACTCCTCAGACTGCTCTGGCTACGTAATTTTCAGGGCCCAGTGCAAAATAAAAGTGTGAGATCTCCTTTTCAAAAAAAAAAAAAGGAAAAAAGTACCATTAAAGATATCCAAATATAAGGGTTTTTCTTCTATTTCTGCTTCTCTTTCAACTTATACTGTTTTTCATTAGCATTTAATTTTGTTCTAAGTAGAAAATTTTTTAAATTTAAGATCATTAGAAATTTTACAGCATATCTTCATATTGTGCAATGCCAGTTTTAGATGTAAATATAAGAGCATTTAACCTGTATGCAGAATCACCAAAATTATACAATTCTATTTTGTATTTTGTATGTATTCTGTTGTTACCAGAACAGTAGAAATCTGCACAAAGCTAACATGTTTTTTCTTTCCTTTCTTGAAGGATACACATTCTACCAATACATTCTACTTTTGGCTTACTGATAAGTAAGGAAGGAAAGCAAAAGGAATTGGGGCCTGTCCTATCTTTCCCTTTTCTTCTGATCTTATTTTCAACATAACTGGTTGGCTAATACGAAAAAAGCAGCCCAACACCATTGCCTTCTTTCTGCATTCCAAACAAGTTCTAGTTGAAACTGAAAGGGTGGCATCCCAGGGACCTCAGCAAGTCCCCCCTACATCCCCACCCTACCGTTAGTCAATCTTAGATTTAACAAACTGACCTCATACTACCTTTCTCACTGAACTACTTACTACGCATTGTGAGTCCACTGGAATTCTGTGCTCATGGGGCATCACAAATGCTATATATAAATGTGGCAGCAAGGAATAGTGGTGGATACTCATATTGAGATATCTCCTGTGCACACTCCTCGGCTCCATTGTACCATTAGATTTCATTTCCAAAACATAAGTTATAAATAAATTTATTTAAAATTTCAAGACGGCAATGGAAGAGCTTTAAACCTAACATGAGGTCTTTCTGAGCCTAGGACCCGTGACACTGCACAGACAGCATGCTCATGAACTTGACCCTACTTCAAAGGTTCTTGAAATCAAAGAATCAGGCCAATACTTGGCTTGCCTATGCAGTGAGACAAACCCGTTCTGCTTTGTGTTACTTCTTCTCTTCTTCCCTTATTCTTTCAAGAAGCTTTTATCCAGAAACTCTTCCTTCACATCTGACACTAACTTTCTACTGCTAGTTTCCACTGCTTACTGACCTTTTATTTTATATTGCCGTGTTTTAATTTTACTTAATTTCTCTTTAGCATTATTATTCACCAGTCATATGAACTGTATGAAGCAGTCTATCACACTTTCCAATCTTTTCAAAAGTATTTATTAACATTGTACATTACAACAAAACTATTGCTTGTCTGTTTTGTATTATTCTTTCTGAAATATGTCCTACAAATACAAGTTATTTCTGCATAAGTTTTTAACCCAGAATAAATCTAATACACTTTCATGTTGGGTGGGTGATTGTCTCCTTATAAAAGTAACAGTAGTAAATGTTTTGCCTCTTGAAACTTTGATAAACATTTCTTTGCTTTCCATTTTATAGCGCTTTCACAGTGCTCACCAAACTTCCTGTTTTTTCCCTGAATATGCAGGAACTGAATTTTCTTTCTTCAGCTGTATTTTATCATTTAACATTCTTGTTTAGTTGAAGTATCAGTAATGAACAACTGCAATGACTCATTTCAGGAGAAATATGAATAATAATAACGTTTAAATTTCTTTAGTGCTTTATAGTTACCAAAACATTTCACATATATTTCAAAATTTGATCTTCATGGCAACCCTGGAACTGATCTACAAATATTTTTTAGTCTTAAAATTAATAAATAATACATTAAATAGCATATTAACATGTTCATTTCTTCCATCTTAAGGTTTAAACATTTATTAGAACTTCTTTGGAAATTATACCTTAGTTTCCCCTCTAAAAGCCTCTAACGGGGAATATCAAACCTTCATGGTAAAGAAATAAAATAGTCATTTTGGAGTCATTACAGCCAGTTGAGTTGGTAGCTGACTGCAGCTAGTCACAATCTATAATCACAACTAACTTTAAAATAAATGATTCTTTATTACAATATATTTTTAATTTGCCCTGTGTTCTATACTAGGTTAATGTAGAGCATAGGAAAAAAGGAGGCTGAGTAATTAGGTCCAGTTCTTTTGTAGAGGCCTCTGGTGCTAAGCAGACTTAGCATTTTGATGTTATAAAACACAAAACCAAAAATATCACAAAACCAAACCCAAGCCCCACTTTTTTTTTTTTTTTTTTTTTTTTTTTTTTGAGACAGGCTGGAGTGCAGTGGCATGATCGTGGCTCACTGCAGCTTTGACGTCCCGGGCTCAAGCAATCCTCCTGCCTCAGCCTTCCAAATAGCTGGGACCACAGGCACATACCACCATGTCCGACTAACTATTTTTTTTTTTTTATTTTTTGTAGAAACAGGGTCTCTCTATGTTGCCCAGGCTGGTCTCAAACTCCTGGACTCAAGCAATCATCCTGCCGCAGCATCCCAAAGTGCTGGAATTACACCTGTAATTCCAGATGTACAGTCAGCCCCAATTTTCTTGAAAATATTTTATATACTACCTTCCTTCAAAATTTAAATTACATATACTCATTCTTGAAATCAGAATTACTGTAAAATATTTTTTCTTACTACCGCAAAATCCAAGGAGAATTTGGAGAACAGTTCAAACTTAACTTCTAGTCAAGTGAATCAACATTCCCTGTTTACATAGTAGAATAGCTCACAGAATTCTAAACATAGTTGTATTCTGACTGTGTCACCTGTTGACCTTTCTTGGAAATTATTTTCATATAACATAACATATCTATAATTACATGATACATAATATATAAATATGTCCTTATACTTAAATAATTTGTTAGATCCTCAGCTATCTATTCTTAGGTAAATTTTAACAAAGATTCACTGCTTGCTGCCTTCTTTAAATTTTATTCTGATGACCAATTTCTATTTTAAATTCAGATTTATTTTCCTTCTGCTAACTTTCCATAACTTTAGCTGGGACACACCAATAGCTGGAATACTTTTTAAAACCCATCTTCCTCTCTCTGTGGTTTCATTTTCCTTCCTTTTCCTCTCTCAGGTGTTCAATTTCTCTACTCTCAGGTCCTTCCATACCCTCTCCCTCCCTGCTCTTTCCTTCCAGTTGGTATAGCTGACTGGGAGTCATCAGTTCCCAAAAAGAAGAGGGAGAAAGCACGTTCATACCCTGTACTTTTTGGCTAGTTTCCTGTTGTTGCTCCTTTTCTACTTCTCTCCACCCTGTCAACCCCACCTTTTTTCCACCTCCAAACCCCCTACCTTCCTGTCTGTGACTGTTAACTCCTTTTCCAGCACATTCTCTCTATTATTGCCCCCATTATTAATTTCTCATAACTGCTACTGGAATTTTTTAAATCATTATTGAGTTATTTTTCCATGTGGTACTCTTAATGTTACAGCTTAAGAATAAAGGCTAAAAGATACAATTATTGTTAAAAAGAAGAAACATCAGATATTAAACTCACTGAGTAAAGGTCACACTGACCATTAATACTGGGGCTTAGGTGGGAGACTGGCAACCTCAGCCCCAGGCAGTTCCAAAACTTTTATACTTCTTGAATATTAAGAGTCATGATGGTGGATTCTGGCTTTCTACTGCCAAAATGCACACTAGAAGGAAGTGTTCTGCTTTTGGTGTGACGCCAATAATGTGTAAGATAACTATGCATTGGCCGGGCGCAGTGGCTCACCCCTGAAATCCCAGCACTTTGGGAGGCCGAGGTGGGCAGACCATGAGGTCAGGAGCTTGAGACCAGCTTGGCTAACATAGTGAAAGCCTGTCTCTACCAAAAATATTAAAAAGTTAGCCGGGTGTGGTGGTGCACACCTGTAATCCCAGCTACTAGGGAGGCTGAGGCAGCAGAATCACTTGAACCCAGGAGGCAAAAGTTGCAGTGAGCCAAGATGGTGCCACTGAACTCCAGCCTGGATGACAGAACAAGACTCCGTCCCAAAAAACAAACAAACAAACAAACAAAAAACTATGCATTCATGGAAGAAACAATTCTTCTTCTGTTCTATCCAATATTTGTGGAAATTGTTAATGTCTTAAGAAGCATGTCTGTTGCAAGCCTAAAGATGCCTTGAGGATGTATATTCTTGCTTTAATTCACACAGAGATAAAGACATCTTATACTTTATTCTCCTGGCCTCCCATGAAAATTGTTCACAAGAAAAATTCACTAGCATGTCATTAAAAATGATTAATTCAAAAAGAAGAACTTGAAGGACATGTCTTCAAGTACCTGAAGTGTTATTAAATGGAGTAGCAATTAAATAAATAATTAGACTTATTTCCAGACTACAGTAATAGGACCAAAAGTAAAAGAATATTTTTACTGCTATAAGGAAAATGGGGGAGAATTTTGCCTAGTTGTACATGTTTCCCTATCTTTAGGTTATATCCTTTTTTCTATGGCTTAGCTACTCTAGGGGAAAGGAGTCTTTTCTCCGTTCTAGGGGAGATCCTATCATAAAGTCCTTCAGATCTGGCCTGATAGCTTAAATAGAACTTAAAGAAATTTATTAAACCTTCTATCACAGTAGTTTTTAACTAGGGGTAATTTTGTTCACAGAAGACATTTGGCAGTTTCTGGAAACATTTTTGGTAGTCACAATTTGGGGTGCAGTGCTACTAGGCAGAAGCCAGAGATGCTGCTAAACATCCTGCAAGGCACAGGATGGTACCCCACAACAAAAAAATTTTCATTTCTAAATGTCAACAGTGCTGAGGATGAGATACCCTGGTTTATCAAGACAATGTCCTGGTTAATTAATCCTGCTGCCTAATCCCATTTTGCATGTTAGAAACCAAATACAGTGATCTCTGTTTATCCATGGACGATATGTTCCAAGATCCCCAGTGGATGCCTGACACTGCAGATAATACTTAACCTTGTATATGCTACATTGTTTTTTCCTATACAAATATACCTATGATAAAGTTTAATTTATAAATTAAGCACATTAAGAGATTAACAACCACTGGTTGGCATATACTTGGCTTCTCTTTGACATATTTGAATTGCCAACATCACTACTCTCATGCTTTGGCGCCATTATTAAATAAAATAAGAGTTATTCAAACACAAGCACCAAGTGATTAAGGGTAGATAGCATGTACAGAGCGCATGCTGGACAAAATGATGATTCACTTTCCGGGCAGGATGGAGCAGGAAGGCATGGGATTCATCACACTGCTTGGAATGGCATACAATTGAAAACTTATGAATTACTTATTCTGGAATTTTGCATTTACTATTTTTGGACCAGGACTGACCATGAGTAACTGAAACTGGGGAAAGCAAAACCATGGACGAGGCGGGGGGACAGCTGTATTACTTCATTCTTTCTCTCGTCTTTTCTATAAATCCTTACCATTGCTTCCCATACTCAGGCAGTTGGATATTTTGGGCAAGCTTGAGGAACGGCTCACAGAAATAAATGAGAAAAGTGTATTTACAATTTTCCAAATTTGGTCCTTGTTAGAAATGTCTCACCATTAGAAATAGTGACAAATAGGTTGTTAATATGGCTGAATAAGAGCTTGAGCTATTAATTTAGATTCCTTTAGCCCTATATTTCCTCTTTCCATGATCTCCATCCAAGCAAGTGGCTGACTCTTCACTTTATTGAGTTAGAGAAACTATATGGTTGTGTAGAAACAAGAGCAGCATACAATATTTTTGGGATTTGTAGTTAAAACCCTAACACTTAGAAGAAGTTAGAGGGTTTGTGGATGAAGACAATGGGACAAGGGGATTCCCAGATATCAGCAGGGTACTTAAAGACTCAACAGCAGAAACTAAAAAAACAACACACAAAGTAACTTCCACCCACAAACTAAAAGAACAACCTCTGACATTGTAGGAGTGTTTGGTCAGGAGGCAAATATATGAAGAAAGAAATATCTTGGGGCTGTAAAACTCTGGTAGGTTTGTCAGAGAGGAAAAATACTTAGAGAACAGTGTCTGGCACATTCCTACTGCAGATACAGCACACACATAGCAGAGGTTTAACAATTGTTAAGGAATAGTTTAGGACAACAATAATCATTCCAGTGGCAATCAATATTAACAAATGGCTAATAATCGAGGTCCCCTAAATTACCTTAAGCTTGCCCCAAACCTGGAGGGAGGGATGGAAAACCAAGAGAGACTGATATTTGGTCAATCTGACATAATGAAGAATTAGAGAACAATGAACATTGAGTTTACATCTCTGCTTCTTCATTATGTTGGATTAGCAAAAATTATATTAATGAGTCACTCTTAGGTTTTCCATTCCTCCCTCCAGGTTTACTCGATTGTAAAATTTTAAAAATTACATTGCTCACACCTGTAGATTTGGAAATTCTTATTCCTTACAAGAGAGTTGTACTTAGTTTCCCACTAGTGAAAAGCGTTTAAGGAAAAAGCATATTTCCCCAACCATTCACAATTTCACCTGCACACAATCTGTTTAAAATTATATTTTTCAACCTGCGAAGCATCGTCTATTAGTGGCTTGTGAAATCAAATCAGTAACTTAAAACATTTTACAGAGAATAGTTCAGATGAAAAAAGAAAACAGAATATATCAAATGTATGACACATGCCTAACTTAAGTATTACTTGGTGAAAGTGTGTACTGGAAGCCACATACAATGTACTGCTTAAAGCAAACTGTTTTAAAGACACTGTTTCAGGAAACCATTAGGACTCATCCCATCATGCCCTACATTCCAATTTACTACATCATCATAAGAAGTCTCTCATCTCCACATAATTCTGAGCATTTTCTCATCTAACCCTTGTTTTCCCCTTCTTCCCTCTCATTTTCCACTGTGCCTTCCGGAACTCACTTCCTCATGAGAAAAATCCATTATATCTTCAATGGCGTTTAAAAATGCCCCTTTATCGTCTTGTCCTAACTTAATCCTTGCTCTGCCTCAATGATCATGCTTCCCCTACAGACCTCTCAAGTCACAGCTGTTTCTCTCATGCTCCTTATGCAATTTAGGCCAGAAGTGGGGTAAGTATTCTTCCAGACTACTGTCCCTCACTTCTTCCTAAAACCCCCAACTTCAGACCTCTTGCCATCAGATTTTACCACTTGCTACCTTCCTTCTTGGGGACAATACAGATGCTCAGATCTCCTTATTTCTTACAATTATTATTTCCTGTTTCTCTCTCTCCCTCATTATTTCTGTTCTTTCTCTTCATAATTATTTCCATATCCATATTGTATATCCTTCAGTATGATTGCCTCTCAGTTTTTTCAATCTGCTTTCCTCTGATGAGCTTGTCCTCCACCCACAACCATAGATACAATGCCTTAAGCATACTGACTGGTTTTTACTTTAAATTCATTACCATTACCTTTAGCTCTCTGGCAATCCAACTGTATCTCCCTAGACTATTCACCCTCCCACTCTCCTAGATGCTGCTCTTCTCCTCTCCAATCTCCAGTGCATTTTTTCCATTCTCATTCTCAAATGAAACAGAAACAATCAGAAGTAATTTCATATATTCCCACTACTCCATCTTCAAGGTTACCAGTATCCATGACCATTTCCCTGCTTTTCCTCCTGATATGATAGACAGACTCTCTGTACCTTTACCTAAGAGCAAGTCATACACACGTGTTTCTCAACCAGGAGTGATTTTTTCCCTCAAAGGGCAAACGTCTAGATACATTTTTGGTTGTTACAACTCAATGAGAGGGAGCAGGTGATTATGGCATTTAGTAGGTAGAGGGCAGAGATGCTGCTAAACATCCTACAATATACAGAAGAGCCCCCTCAACAAAGAATTGTCTGGTCGAGGGTCCAGGAAGTCAGTAGTGCCAAGGCAAAGAAACCCTGTACTGAAACCTGCCCCTCCCCAGCACCTCTCCCCTTCCTCCTTTACATCCCCAAGTTTTCTTCTTATCGAATCATTTCTACCTTCATACAATTGTACTGTTGATATTTCCTATTTTAAAAATATTTTTCTCATTGCCATATTTCCTTCTAGCTACCTCCTGCCTTTCTCTGATCCCCATAAACAACAAAATTCATGAATGAGTGAGAGAATTTTCTGCTCTAGAAATCACCAAATCTTTTCTTCCTGCTCTCTCTTGAGCTCAGAGAGTTCAACCAAACTTTCTCATCACTCACAATAATAGTATGTCATGTTGTCAAATTTAATGGTCAGTTCTTCTCATCTGACAAGTATTAACATTTAGCATGATTGATCACTTCCTGCTTCTTGAAATAATTTCTTCTCTTGGTTGCTGGCCACCTCTCTCAGTTTGTCTCTTACCTCACTGGCTGGGGATTTTCAGTGTCTTGCTTTCATTTTATTCATGGCTTAACTTTAAAATATTTTGATCTCTTTTCTAACTATACTAGTTTCCTGGGTGACCTCATCTAGTCTCATGGCTTTAAATTTCATCTATATGCTGATGGCTTCTGAATTTATATTTCTAGGATCAACTTCTCTCTAACTCCAGACTTTTATAATCAACACCTATTTAACATTGTCACGTGTTTACCTAATAGATAGCCAAAACAGAACTCCTAATTTTATCCCCCAGACCTATTCTTACAGCAATCTGTCCTTTCTAAGTTAATGGACCCATTCTGCAAAGTAGCTTAATTCAAAACACTTGGTGTCATTCCTATCTTCCTCTGTTTCTTTTGTACTGTACACTTTCTATCTATCAGCCACTCCTGCTGCTCTGTCTTCAACATGTATCCAATATCCAACCTTTCAATCCCCTCCAATGCAAATGCGTCAGTCAAAGCTGCATTCTCTTAGGACTGGATTATTTCAATAGTTTCCTAATAGTACTTCTGGCTTTCACCCTTGTGTCCTGTACAGTCTATCCTCTACCCAACTCCAGAGAGATCATTTTGAAAATTAATTCAGACCATGTAATTTTGCTCAGAACCCTTCATTGGCTTCCCTTATCTTTCAGAATAAAATTTGCAATCCTTGCCATTATCTATAAGATCACACATGATAATGATCACTGTTTCCTTTGACCTCTTCTTGTACCAGTCTTGTTCTCTCTCACTCTTTGCCAATCACATTGGCTTCCTTGTTCTTTCTGGACTACATCAAGCATGTTTTTTTTTTTTTTTTTTTTCCCAGAACATTTTTTCTCTCCATAGCTGTGCAACTTGCTTCCTCACTTTCCATTTTTCTGTTGAATGGCAATTTATTAAAAATGCCTCCCTTGACCACCAGTTGTTATTTAACAACACTTCCTCCTCCCACCTGATATCTCCATCCTGCTTACTATGAAAAATATTCTATTCTATTCTATTCTATTCTATTCTATTCTATTCTATTCTATTCTATTCTATTAAGACAGGGTCTTGCTATGTCACCCAGGCTGAGTTCAGGGACACGGTCATGGCTCACTGCAGCCTCAACCGTCTGGGTTCAAGCAACCCTCCCACTTCAGCCTCTCAAGTAGCTGAGACTACAGGCATGTGCCACCATGCCTGGCTATTTTTTTTTATTTTTTATAGAGACGGGGCCATGCTATGTTGCCCAGCTGGTCTTGAACTCCTGCATACAAGCAGTCCTCCTGCCTGGGCCTCACAAAGGGCTGGGATTACAGACGTGAGCCACTGTGCCAGGCCAAATTTTTTTTAAGTGGTTCATTTATCATTTGCCTCGCTCTATTGGAATTTAGTTCATAAAGGTCATGGTTGTTTTGTTGTTATTGTTATTTATTATCAAATCTCTAGCACCCAGAATCATACCTGGGTACTATTATTTTAGTAAACACTTTTAATACATTTAAAAAATTTTGTCATTACAAGTTGAAAACTTTTTTCATGATGATTTTAAAAACGTCACCTTTAAAATTATTATTGTCTCAGAAAACTTATCGTAAGGTACCGAAATTAAACTCTGCTTTGTGACTCAACCCTCCCCTGAGCAGGTCTGACACTTTTGGAATACTATCCTCCTTGAGGACTACCTTCTTGTGTGAGACAATTTGTCATGGCAAACATAATAAAATATTGATGGAATTCCATCATATTGAATTAAAATGTCTGCACATTGTACTGTTACATAGTGTCAGGGCAGAACCCAAACCCTGCATTGCAGGAGTCCTTAGTGACTTGCTATTTTTTAGAAGTTTAATGCAGCAATCAGGCATCAGTAAATATTTACTCAGTTGAATCATATGACAGAATTACTTTACAATCATTTGTAATTAAACATCTTGATATATGGTCTTAACATGGCTATAGAATTGGAGCTCTAACAACATGTTCAATCTCTGATTTCTAGGCTAAGAACTCTGGGTTCTTAGAGTATTTGTGGATGCCCAAGGGCTCCTTTTGGATTATTGTCCCCTGAGTGGAAAAAGAGCAAAGCATCAACAATAAATGAAAAATAAAATATCATTAAGGTTCATTTCTCTTTGTTTTCCACTCTCCATGGTGGCTGCAGTGTATCACCTGCCTTCTGGCATATAAGCTCTGGGTGACTCTCATGTCTGCTGGAGTACTGCAGGCTTCCCTGTCATCATGGTATGATCCTCCCAAGCCAATTTGGGGCTGCAGGCCACCACTTCCACTCTCATCACGTTCCCTGTTTGTGCTTGTTTGCGGGGTACCTATCATCCTGCTATGACAGTCTGTCCTGTCCTGCTTCTTTATCCCCATGTCACCGTCTCTGCAATTTCTCTGCTATCACTAGTTCCTGAACTCTGGTTACTGACAGCTTGCCAACAGCACACTCTGTGCCCTTGTCATCTCTAGCCCATCACACCTGCTGCTGCCACCTGCTCCGGTACCTTGCCAACATCTCCCCTACTGCCTTCAATGCCGGCCATGCGCCTTCAGGAGGAGAAAGGACTTTTTCTAATCAGTGGCTGCTGCTGGACAGTGACACACTAAACAGTGACATCTGGGAAATATCAAGTCATCTGTCCTTGAGATGGTGTATACTCTTATTGTTGCCAAGATATTTTACCATCAAATTCTGGGGTCTGTGGTGTTTACTGTTCTAATACCTTCTTTTCCTGGCTAAGACCTGCAGCCTCTATTAAAATAAATTCTAACCTTTAGTTTAAACTATTCCATTGTCTTGTTTTCAAAGTCTTCTCCTTTGATTGGCATACCAAAATTTAGTTATGGGGGAGGGAGGGAGGAATATGTGGTGGTTAAAAGTTTAGTTCCAGCATCACTGATATTATCTAAGATAATAGAAATATATCAAAACAAAGAGCTCTCTATTATGTTTACAGGTATGCCTGAGTTAAGCATTTACATGTTAACATGAATATTAAGTTGGTAAATAATCTGTAAAAGATAACTAATTAGGATATTGGTAACTGTATTACACACTTCTAGGTAAATAATGTGTCCCATAATATTCTATTTTTCCAAAGTGCGAAGGAGAAGATGGAGATGTGTGTGTGAAAGAGAGAGAGAGAAAATGGGAGAATATTTTGGGATTAATGTAAATTTTCTATTTATATCAATATAAATTAAAACAAAATTGTTTTTAAAATGTATATCTATAAAATAACAGATTAGTGGAGATCCATAGATAAATGGAAATCAAAATATATTAATGTTCTATAGAAACAATAAATTATAGTGTAAGTATGAAGATGATTAATAGAAAGGTTATTTCCAATGCACAGCCTCCAAAATAGTAAAATAACTTATTAATAAGGCAGTCTATGTCATTAATGAGTAGCTCTAATGCTAGAAAAATTATACTAAGCCAAAAGCTACTTTCCTTTACACTAGTTCTACGTTCTGAGTGACACAAAATAGTCTAATCTCATTTGCAAAGCTCGTTAAATAATTGAAGACACTTTTATGAAATTATAAAATCTAGAAGAGCCATGTTGCTTTAGAAGTGAGGAGTCAAGAGTTTCATGCATTGCTCAAGGGGTTTGTGGAGAGCTTTTTGAGGAGGATTCTGGCAATACATATTGTAATATAAAATATACATAAACTTTGACCCATCTATCCCAGTTTTAGGAATCTATGCCACAGAAATACAATCATTGGTACAATTGAATGTACCAATGTATATTAATGCATTGTAAACAAATGGTAAAAAGTTATTGGAAACAACTTGAATAATTATAAAATGTATATATATTTATTCTATGTAACTCTATTGAACAGAAGGCAAGTATTTAAGAAAGAGAACTATATCCATATGTATTGATCCAGTTTGCCCTTGGTATATTTTTATGTGAGGAATGCATAACTATGTGTATTACAAAATGCAATTTCTTAAAACTAACAATCCAAATATATATTTGGGGATAGCACAGAAAAGACATGAAAGAGGATAGTACACACTGCTAACTGTTCATGTTTTTAAAAATATACATCTCTTTTGTTTGAATAAGTTTGCATTTCTTTTAAAATTAAATTATCTAATACTTAAAAATGTAAATCATTTTAAAAAAGCTCAATCTGTGCTGTTTCATAACTACATGAAAATATATTTGCTTCTAAAATTTCTTGTGGTTTGAAAATTGTATGCTCATTTTCTAGTCACAGACAAACTTATACCCAAGAAACCCTTGGTTTTCATACATTAATCACTAAGGATCTTGTTAATAGTTATTCAACTTTAGTAGTTATTCAGCTTTAATAAAGTTATGGCAATAAGGCCTCTGTTATTTTAGAAGTACACACTTTTATATTTGGATCGAAAGTGAGAATATATCTAAGTAAATGTCAAAAAGTTATATCTACAGGAAAAGGTATGGTCCCCCCAAATATTTTATTTTCTAGGCTAAACATCTTTCAAACAAAGAAAACATTCTCAGATCCTTTACAGCATGTTGATTGTCATTCTCTGGTTCCAGTTTAAGATATGTTATTCTGCTTTGGAGACATTTATCTATATCTTTCTTAAAGCATCCCAATATTGCAACTGATTTTTAGAAGACTTATCTCAATGGAGATTTACACTGATAGTATAGCAAATGTGTGTTGTATTGTAATTTTGAATGTTTCAACACAGCTTTGTTGAGTCCTCTATTATCTATTTTGTGTTTGAGCAACTTGTGTTTTTTAGCCTAAATGCAGGACTTTACCATTATCCATTTTCAATTTGATGATGTACACTATGTTAAAATGAGAAAGGAACTATATTGTACATACAGTATGGTTACCACTACATGAAAAATATACCTACCTGTTAAAATAAATCATGCTCACAGTGGTGCTATTCATAATAGCAAAGAGGTAGAAGCAATACAAATGTCCATCAATGGGTGAGTAGATACACAAAATGAACATACAGTAGAATATTACTGGACTTCAAATAGAAAGGAAATCTGTCATATGCCACAGCATGGATAAACCTTGAGGACATTATGCTAAATGCAATAAGCTACTCACAAAAAGACAAATACGATTCTACTCGTGTACGAGATCTAAAATAGTCAAATTCACAAAAAACGGAAAGTAGCATGGTGGTTACCAGAAACTGAGGAAAGGGGAGAATAGGAGTTGTGCTAAACTCCTATTTAGGGATAAAATTTAGGTATAAATTTTCAGTTTGGCAAGATCAAAAGGCTCTGGATATCCATTTCACAACACTCTGAATGTACTTAACACTACTGAGCTATACACTTGAAAGTAGGTAATATGAGAAATTTTATGTTAACTGTTATTTACTACTATTTAAAAAGCAGAAACAGCAAAACGTATTGATATAGATGTGAGGGATTGAGGGATGTGGATGTACACAATAACTCAAAGCATTCTGCCTTGCACAACTTGGTAATGGTGATTGCATTAATAGATAGGTGAGTCCGGGCATGGTGGCTCACGTCTGTAATCCCTGTACTTTGGGAGGCTGAGGTGAGAAGATCATTTGAGGCCAGGAGTTTGAGACCAGCTTGGCCAACATGGTGAAACCATGTCTAAAATACAAAAATTAGCCGGGTGTGGTGGCACGCCCCTGTAATCCCAGCTACTCGGGAGGCTGAGGCGGGAGAATCGCTTAAACCCAGGAGGCAGAAGTTGCAGTGAGCTGAGATCGCACCACTGCACTCTAGCCTGAGTGACAGAGTACAAAACTCCATCTCAATAACAGCAACAACAAACACACAGAAAACAAAATGTGAATATATATGGGGAGGAGCAATCTGAAGTAAAGATTATAATAGACACTGTGGTGCTTTGCACCATCTCTTCTTTGCCCAAGTGATTTCAGCACTGCTCTGGTAAGCAGTTCCATGCACATTGCTAGGGTCCCATCTTAATGAGAAGATGTGCATTGTTGCTTTCCTACTTCAGGGCTTTCTCCTAAGGCACACGTATTCCAAACCAACACACAGATGCAGCCTGGAAGTGGGAGGAAAAGGAATCAATGGATCATTGCTCCTACTTCCCCATCCTACTCAGATACTGTTTTCAGGCAGTTTCTACAGGGAGCCCAATATGTCCCAGTGGATCTGAGCCCCAGTTGCTGTTGCTGTTAACCAGTTTAATAATGTACCCCACTCGTGCCTCTTTTGTCTTTTTTTTTTTCCATTTCTGCTTTCATTCTCTGAAAGCTCTTTTTTTTGTCCTGATTCTTAGAGTAATCTTCCAAATAAAATATATATTAATATACCCAATCTTTGTCTCAGGTTTTCATCAAAACTACAGACAGTTTTCAAAAGAAGACATACATGCGGCCAACAATCATATGAAGAAAAAGCTCAATGTCACTTCTCATTAGAGAATGCAAATCAAAACCACAATGAGATACCATCTCACAGCAGTCAGAATGGCTATTACTAAAAAGTCAAAAAATAACAGATGCTGGCAAAGTTGTGGAGAAAAAGGAATGCTTATACACTGTTGGTGGGAGTGTAAATTAGTTCAACTATTGTGAAAGACAGTATGGCAATTCCTCAAAAACCCAAAGACAGAACTACCATTCAGTTGAGCAATCCTATTACTGGATATATACCCAAAGGGATATAAATAATTATATTATAAAGACACACGCACATATTTATTTGTTCATTGCAGCACTATACACAATAGTAAAGACAGGATTGCCAACCCAAATGCCCATCAATGATAGACTGGACAAAGAAAATGTGGTACATATATACCATAGAACCCTATGCAGCCATGAAAAAGAATGAGGTCAAGACCTTTGCAGGGACATGGATGAAGCTGGAGGCCATTATGCTAAGAAAACTAATGCAGGAACAGAAAGCTAAATACCCCATGTTCTCACTTATGAGTGGGAGCTAAATGATGAGAACACATGGACGCATAGAGGGAAACAACACACACTGGGGCCTATTGGAGAGTGGAGGGTGGGAGGAAGGAGAGGATTAGGAAAAATAACTATTGGGTACTAGGCTGAATACTTGGGTGATGAAATAATCTGTACAACAAACTCCCGTGACATAAACCTATGTAACAAACCTGCACATATATCCCTGAATTTAAAATAAAAGTTAAAAAAAGGAAAATATATGGAATATTTAGGACATGCAAAGTTTTAGGAATCTTTGGGAAATTTAGTTGAAGATGTTTATTAGAAAGTTAGAAATTGGCTGGGCATGGTGGCGCATGCCTGAAATCCCAGCACTTTGGGAGGCCAAGGCAGGAGAATCTCTTGAGCCCAGGAGTTCTAGACCAGCCCCAACAACATAATGAGAACCTGTTTCTACGTATTAAAAAAATTAATTAGCTGGTGTGGTGTCTCACATTTATAGTTCCAGCTACTTGAGAGGCTGAGGCAGGAGGATAACTTGAGCCCAGGAGTTCAAGGCCTGCAGGACCTACAGACAAGCTACTACACTCCAGCCTGGGTGGCAGAGCAAGACCCTGTCTCAAAAAATAAAAAAATAAATTAAAAAAAGAAAGTTAGAAATTAATTAGTGTCACCTCAAAAGTAGCTGTCTTTTCCATTTCTTGATCCATTCTGCTCTTCATCTTCCAGAAACTGCTTTCTGCCACTCATTTACGTTTGTCATTGTTTCTGTGCTTTTTCTCCTATTTTACTAGTTTTTTAAAAAAGTCAGAGATCTTAAGAAAGTTCACTGAATAGAAAGTTTGTCTAAAATACCTAAACTTTCTCTTCCTCAAATGGATCATTTGTGACTATATAAAGCTCTAGCTTTTTTTTCAGCGACTCTTCTGTCCTTCATGAGTTTCTGGCCAGAGGGCCATATCTAATTTGCTTCTCAATATAATTGCTCTGAATAATGGTATGTTCTCTACCTTCTCTGCAACTTTATTTCATCAAATAAAAAAAAACAGTATCCTTTAAATAGAATGTGAAAAAACTTAAAGATATTTTGGCTCAGCCTGGTCTTGTCAGTCTAAGAGAGATTTACTCTTGTAACAAAGAGGTAGGTTTTCTTTTCTTTTTTTTTTTTTCTAAATACCTCTAGGAACCCATTCTGTCCATGTGTCATATCTTATTTGATGCACGATGTCAGAAATGTGGTTGAAATCTGGAAAAAATCCTGGATCTTTGGCACTTTTTCAAAGGCTAAAAGAAATCTTTGCAGAACTGAAAGCTGTCATTTGTGTCCAGGGAGGAGTAAAATTGTTCTGCTTAAATCCAAATTGTTGTTTCAAAGAGAACAAAAATGAAAAGTTTGGAAGATAAAATGATGACTAATCCACTCTTGTAAGTTAGAGTACTCTTATTCTTTTTGATTTAGTAGATGCTGTGATCATGTTTCTTTATACTAATCCTCCTGCAAGCATAATGATCCCCATCTCCTGGGATATCATTTTCCCCCTATGCTTTGTTTCTCCCTGTTTTATACCTACCTCTATTGTATTTTTCAGAAATATTTTTTTCTGTGAATTGTATCTTCATCATAAAGTTTAGAGGACTTATTAATTTCACTTAAGTTTAAAGAGAATCATTAGAAATTGGACAGTTAAAAGATATTAATTCAAGAATTTTCTTTTTTCTTTTTTTTTTTTTAGACAGGGTCTGACTCTTGCTCAGGCTGGAGTGCAATGGCGTGATCTCAGCTCACTGCAACCTCTGCCTCTCAGGTTCAAGCAATCCTCCCACCTCAGCCTCCCAAGTAGCTGGGATTACAAGCTTGCACCACCGCACTCGGCTAATTTTTGTATTTTTAGTAGAGACAGGGTTTTGCCATGTTGGCCAGGCTGGTCTCAAACTCCTGACCTCAAGTGATCCATCTGCATTGGCTTCCCAAAGTGCTGGGACTACAGGCACCATGCTTTGCCTAATTAAAGAATTTTCATAATTTTAAATAAAGAATTTAATTTTTTATTAAATTCTGTAGAAGAAACTAGAATAATCTGATGTTGAGGTTGAAAAATATCAGAAATATCTTCATTATTATCCTAAGTTTATATATAAGAAAATGAAGGTTCATGCAATTTAAATAATATGTCCAAAGCCATATATGAATAATCAGCATTACTAGAACTAAAACACACTCTTTCTGTCATTTAATATTGTTTAATTTAATTGAATCAATTTAATATGATCAGTAAACCCTGAGATTAAGAGGAGGCACAAGTGACATTTTCTTGCTGATCCTGTTTATGTTATGACTTTTTTTTTTTCTTTTTTTAAAGATGGACTCTCACTCTGTTGCCCAGGCTGGAGTGCAATGGCGCTATTTTGGTTCACTGCAACCTCCGCCGCCTGGTTCAAGTGATTTTTGTGCCTCAGCCTCCTGAGTAGCTGGGATCACAGGTGTGTGCCACCACACCCGGCTAATTTTTGTATTTTCAGTAGAGACAGGGTTTTACCACGTTGACCAGGCTGGTCTCAAACTCCTGGCCTCATGTGATCTGCCTGCATAGGCCTCCCAAAGCACAGGGATTACAGGCGTGAATCACCGTGCCTGGCCTCTATCTAGTTTTTAAAAGGTTTTAACTGAGTGTGGTAGCTCATGCCTGTAATCCCAGCACTTTGGGAGTCTGAGGTGGGAGAATCCCTCGAGTTCAGGAGTTTGAGACCAGCCTGGACAACAGGTGAAAACCCATTTCTACAAAAAATACAAAAATTTGCTGGGCATGGTGGTGGGAGCTGGTAGTCCCTGCTACTCTAAAGGCTGAGGTGGGAGGATAGCTTGAGCCCAGCAGGTGAAGGTTGCAGGGCGCCATGATGGCTCCACTGCACTCCAGACTGGGCAACAGAGGGAAACTTTGTCTCAATAACAATAATAATAATAATAACTTTTACATATTTTGCATTTTATAGATGAGATTGACACATGGAGAGGGTAACTTGCCCAACCATGTGGTTAATCAATGGCAGAGCCAGAACTAGCACTGACTTATATGTGCATTTGCTTATTCATGCAATAAATATTTTGAGTGCATTATCTGTTGCAGGCATTATGCTAGGTAATGGGGATTCAATTAAATAATAAACAAAATAGAGTCTCCAATGGCATAAAGTTCATAGTAGGCCATGACTGGGCTGCTACATATCAATGATGATGGAAACAAGAGAATTCAAGAGCGTTTCATCGTGGAGTAGCAAGAATTCCTAGCTGATAGAACCTTCGGTGCTGGTGTGGCCTTTTCCCCCTAAAAAGCATAGACGGTGGTAGTGTTATGTTTTTGTTTTTTCAGTTTTTTATTTTTATTTTTTGGCTCCTCTTACCCCATTAGTACTTTAAAGGACTGACTAAATCAACATACTTTGCACACACCAACCAATATGAAGAACTTAGGAAGAAATAAGCAGTCACATACAGTCCTTCATAAATTCATGTGATGCATGCCCTTTACTTATTTGCAGGTTCTATGGTAAAGCAAAATGAAAGAAACCTTTGCTATTGTCTGAGTTGCCTCTTTTGCCAGTTTTCGAACCCAGGCCAAATTTTGTGGGCCAGCCTAGCTTAGAGCATATTGTTCAGTAAAAACTACTAAAAAGTTCAGTAGACTGTAGAATCTAACTCTAGACGGAGTGAGACTAGAGGCAGATGTTGTGTCATTTGTTAGTTGGGCAATAAGTTCATACAAAGAAGGTTCCACATTTAACTTCATTTACATACTTTATAAATCACACTGTTGATTTGCAGTTATGCACTCTGACTCTTACTTCTCACAGCTTTTATCTAATTACCAGAGAAGTGGGTGGGTGGTTAATTTAAAATTTAATGACAAGAATTAGGCTTCTTTTAACCTAGTACCTTAAAAGAATTGTTAAAACAAATGATGTTCTTTAGAGAGAATAGAGGACCAATCAACATTCAACTCTTTTTTTTAGCTGAGTCAGTGTGGGAGACAGACATTAGACAAATAGTCCAATAAAAGCTATAAGTTTATATATATATTATATATATATATATATATAAATGTATATAGATAAAATTGTGATAATCAAGGATACTTTAAAAAGAAGAGAATACTTAGAAACACATCATGGAAGAACTTAGGTGTAGATTCGTCTCGATTTGGGGTAGGGGATGAGTCAGGGAAGGCTCTCGTGAGAAAATGGCTTTTAAGCTCAGATATTAGAAAAGTAAATAAAAGGGAAGAAATTAATCAAAAAAGTTGTGAGAAGTGAATGCTTCATTGCAGAAGACAGAAGTACATCTTGGAAGACAGAACTTCTGATATTTTTCCCCATTCTTCATGTTTTCCATTTGAAGGACTGGGCCAGGAACACTTTATCATTCAAATTATGTTACATATTTCTTAGTGCCAATTGAAACCAAATTAAGATCTTGATTGTGGTGACAGCTACATGACTAAGCATTTGTCCCAACTCAGATCCACATGCCAAAAAGAATGACTTTTACTATATATAAATTTCAAATAGAAATAAAACCAAAATAAAAGAAAATACAAATTAAGTTTACACCATTGACTACTGTTGTCCAGTTGCTCTTTCACCTTCATACTAAAAAGCAACAAGTAAAATATGAGTGTGCACAGGATTATGTGTGTTTCATCAAAACTCTAATCTCTCCCTTGCTATTAAAATGTTTGCTCTTGTCTGATTTTTTCCATTTCAAACACAAGAGGGACTCTTTAATATAGCTTTAATATGTAGACAGGCTAGGAAATCCCCAAAAGAAAAATGTGTTTTGTAACATACTGATTTGACAAATGGAGTGTCATTCTAAGGCTTCATTCTGGCACTACCTGACAGGCACCTTTGTTATCTAGAAGAAATATGGCTACACTTGCTGGTAGAACACATAATGCAGGTACCAGAAAGTCATCACTCCAGTAATGACAAGACACCAGAGATCATTATTTCCTAGCCTGAAAACCTTGTGTACCATTGTTAAAATGGAGGCCTGTCATTTTACTGTATGTCATCTGATGACATTATCTCTGATATTTATGACAAAGGAAGCACCTTGTGACTTTTACCACTCAAATTAAATAGCATTTTTTAATCTTTCACTGGATTGAAGAAATCTGACTTAGGAAAGGAAAGCCCATTTAGATACATTCGTTGACTTGCGTTGAAATGTGAATTCCTCTCTCCTCCAAAAAGATATCCTCCAGAATCTCCAAGGGGGAGAAAGAGGGATTCTGTTTTGATAGTTAATGGTCGTGAGGCTTACAAGTTCCCAGAAACTGACAATACTGCTTTGTTTATAGGCATTAGCACCTTAATTTTCACAGCAATAATTGAAACCGTACTCTCTGAGGCAGAGGTTATTGGTGTTTCAATTTTGCAAAAGAGGAAATTAAGGTCCAGAGAGGTCAAGAAACTTGCTCCAGGTGGCAGAGCCAGGAAGTGTTCTGAGCGTTGTGCATGTCACGGAGGCTCGCATGCTTTATCTTCTAGGGTCAGATGTGCTGCTGGAGAGGGATAATGCTGCATAGCTCACCCAAGCAGCTGCCAGTGCTGATGCTTAGATGTGTGCTGATTTCTTCCTGTCAGATGCTTGAATCTTGTGTCAATTCATATTAGGACCTTAGTATTTCCTGCTTCTCAGCATTAACATTTCCTGTAATAAGCTTCTTGTGATTCCCTTTAAGGACCTCCAACCGAAGAGTCCCCCAGAGTTTTGCTTAGTTAACAATCCTGCTTTCAGTGGCAGTATATTAACTATGAAACAATTGCAAAGGAATAGTATAAGAGTTTCCCTCTGCCTTATTAATAAATAAAAAGGTAATACAAATCTTTTTTCTTTTCTTTTTTTTTTTTTTTTGAGAAAGGGTGTTGCTTTGTTGCCTAGGCTGGAGTAGGTGCAGTCACAGCTTACTGCAGCCTTGAACCCTTGGGCTCAAATGATCCTCCCACCTCAGCTTCCTGGGTAGCTGAGACTGCAGGCTCAGGCCACCAGGCCCAGATAATTAAAAAAAAAAAAAAAAAAAAAACTTTGGTAGAGATAGGGGGTCTCACTATGTTGCCCAGTCTGGTCTCTAACTCCTGGGTTCACATGACCCTCTTGCCTCTGCCTCTGAAAGTGCTAGGATTACAGGCATGAGACACCACATCCAGCCACAAATTCTTAATAGCAATTTCAAATGTTAATAACAAACCCATGGTGATCTTTCACATTGATATAGACTCTTTTTATTTTTTTGAGACAGAGTCTCACTCTGTTGCCCAGGCTGGAGTGCAGTGGCGTGATCTCGGCTCACTGTAACCTCTGCAGTAGCTGGGATTACAGGTATGTGCCACCACGCCCGGCTAATTTTTGTATTTTTAGTAGAGACAGGGTTTTGCCATGTTGGCCAGGCTGGTCTCGAACTCCTGACCTCAGGTGATCCACCTGCCTTGGCCTCCCAAAGTGCTGTGATTATAGGCATAAGCCACTGTGCCCGGCCTGATAAAGACTCTTTATGATTCTTCTGTTTCTTAAAACATGTAATCTTTTTAATTTTTAATCTTAGCCATGCTCAAAACTTTTACTAATATGACTTGCTATAGTAAACATACAGTACTGTTGCTTATCTTTCTCCAACAAATCAAAGTACATAGTAAGTAAAGAGGCCTGAAAGTACTTTTTAAAACTTTAAAAAGTAATCATATATGAGGAAAACAAAGTTGAGAAGGTTGTATCTTGGTTTTACTAATGGAGAAACTGAGGTGAAAATGGGTTGAAGTTTGTTGCAGCTTAGCCACTGCAAAGTTTAACTCAATCAGGGTGAAGTTATTTTAAGACACATAGCTTTAACTACCATGGAATGAGGGTATCTGCTATAAAGGTATTCTGATATGGAAACCTGAAGTGAACTCCCTTTCTTTTAGAGAGTGGACAGGTTATCATTATGGATCAGAGCCAAAAGAGATGACACGTTGGTGACATTTGTTACCTTTATATAGTTCTGGCAACAACAACAAAAATACTACTATTTGAAGAAGATGGTTGAAAATGCAGATGGACTTCTTTAATTATCTTCCTTTCCTTTAGTGTTGTCCTTCAAAATAAGGTAGATAAATTTCATTCATTCTATAATCCACAAATATTCACTGTAACTGTCTTTCAGCTGCTGAAATACCAACAGAGAATCATATCAACCTTGTAAAAAGCTATTGGACCAAGCTCTTCTGCCACGAAAAACAAAGAAGATGATTAATTTTATTTGCTTTACTGTTTGCATTTCCCTAAGACACAATGAACTGATTAAAATACTTTTGTACTCATTCATTAGGCTTTTTTGTATATTAAGGTGCATTATTTTGACATACTTACCACATAATTATATTTGTGTAATGATTTCACATTCATAGTCATGCGTGTGTTATTTTCTTCTCACAACAAAGCATACCAGAGGAAAAGTTATAACTCCCATTTTTACAGAGAACAAAAATAAGGCTTTGGAGTTTGACCATGGCTATGCAGCTACTCTGAGTGTGTGTGTATGTTTATATGTGGGAGTGGGCTATAGAATTAGACTTCATGTATATTGGTTTCTACTAGCACTTTCTATATTCCCCGTGCTATCTTTACAAAATGAACTAAGTTTTGAAGCACCACAAGCTTCTACTCAGCCCTGCTGGCATTTTCAGGACATCTGGATGACAAGGTTTTCTTTGTTTTGCTTTGAATTGTGGGTACCGCAAAGAACCAGTAGCATTTCTGGCACACGTTCCAATTTTCTGATTCAAAATCTCTCTGTCTATTTGATGTTGCTACTACGAAATTCATATAGAAAAAGACGTTAAAAGGTTAAGTGGTTTTGGTGTGTGTAAGAACAAGGGTGAACACCCTACTGCTTCTCCTTTTTTTCCTGGATTCCTCTCACATTTACCTACTTCATTTATGGGGTAGAGAGGGATGGGTGGAGTTGTAAAAGAAACATAATAAAAGCAGAGGGAAATAAGAGCAGCACCTCTGAGGAAATTTCCTGCATTCAAAAATTATAGGCTGGAATAAAATGTCTGGATTAGAATTTTGTTTCTCCTCATTCTACTCTGCCTGAAGCCACATGGAGTAAAGCTGAGGTTCCTGAGAAGTGAAAGTTCTTGACAATGAAGCCGAAATAATGTATCTCAAGCTGGAGAGCAGACCCTCAATCTTCAAATGTATTATTTATTCAAAGAATAATTATTGGGTACCAACAATATATCAAGTATCATTCTCGGTGTTTGGTAAATACTTGTGAACAAAAGAAAGATTTTTACCCTCTGAAGCTTACATGCTAGCAGGGAGAAACAGACAATAAGCAATAAATGTAATACGGAAGAATGTTCCCTTGTGGGTTAGAAGGTGATGAGTGCAGCAAAACAAAGTTATAAAAGCATTACTCCTAGAGCTAGACTGTCCGAATTCAAACCTTAGCCCCACCACTTCCCAACTGTGTGACTTGGGTAAGTTATTTACCCTCTCTGTGCCTCATTTTCTTATGACCTATAAAATAGACAAGGCAATAGTGCTGGAATATCTGGCTTATAGTAAGAACTCTGTAACTGCTTATTCAAAAATAATTACTGTGGAAAAATTTAAAAGATAAGCAGTATGGATGTGAGTGACTCTATAGAGGGTGTAGGTATCATTTGAGGGGAAAATACGTGAGCAAAGACTTAAGGAGGAGAAGGAGTTAGCCAGACAAATATATTGGGGATGAGCAGTCCCAACAGAGGACATGGCCCTTGTGAATGTGGGAAGATGAGAGTCTAGCTGCTGAGTTGGAAGAATGCAAGGAAGCAAGCATGGTTTGAAAGGAGTGAGCCAGGGGAGCAGGTAGGGGCTTCATAATCGCTCAAAGACTTTAGCTTTTGAGTAAAGTAACAGTTGATTGACTGGGAGTGGTGGCTCATGCCTGTAATCCCTGCACTTTGGAAGGCTGAGGCGGGTGGATCATCTGAGGTCCGGAGTTTGAGATCAGCCTGAACAGCAAGACGAAACCCCATCTCTACTAAAAATATAAAAATTGGCTGGGCATGGTGGTGCATGCCTGTAATCCAAGCTACTCGGGAGGCTGAGGCAGGAGAATCGCTTGAACCCAGGAGGTGGAGGTTGCAGTGGGTTGAGATCACGCCACTACACTCCAGCCTAGGCAACAAGAATGAAACTCCATCTCAATAAACAAATAAATAAATAAGAATTGATTGTTGGTTTAAAGAAGAGGAGTGGGCTGGGTTCAGTAGCTCATGCCTGTAACTCCAGCATTTTGGGAGGCCAAGGTGGAAGGATTGTTTGAGCCAGGCATTGGAACCACGCCTGGGCAGCATAGAAAGATCCCATCTCTACAAAAAAAATAAAAACATGTATCTGGGAATGGTGGTGGGAGCATATAGTCCCAGCTACACAGGAGGCTGAGGTGCAAGAATCACTTGAACTTGGGAGGTTGAGGCTGTACTGATCTGTGATTCCATCACTGCACTCTAGCCTGCGTGATGGAGGGACATCGTGTCTTAAAAAAAAAAAAAAAAAAAAAAAAACAGAAAAGAAAAAGAAAGAGGAGTGACATAAACTGACTTTTATTTTTTAAAGGATTATTTTGGTTGCTGCATTAAGAATAAATTTTAAGGGCCCAAGGCCAAAAGCAAGGAGACCAATTATTGCAGTCATCCATGTGAGAGGTGATGAGGGTTGCAGTGGAGATGGTGGAAAGTACTTGGATTCTGGATATATTTGGAAGATAAAGCCAAAAGGAGTTTCTAATGGGTTGCATACAGAGAGTGCAGGAAAAAGAAAAATTAAGGATGAATTCAAGATTAAAATTTCTCTTAATGATTTCTCCTGCCTCTCTTCCTTCCTGCCTACAGTTTTTTTCATCCACCCCCAATTTCCCTTTGTATTTATTGCTAAGAGACCCCCCCAAGACTAGGAAAATAATAATATAAGGAAAGGAGAGTGGCTTTATGAGAGACAATGGGGCAGAAGAGAAAAGCAATCTCCATCTGGAGGAAGAATTCAGGCTGGCAGCTCCTCCCACAGAATATTGTGGAGAGTAATTCCAACTGGAAAGAGATACAGATGGAAAAGCTCAAGTGCCCAATCCTTGTAACATCCAGCTTTGTGGGTAATCTTTCACAGGATCAGGGAGGTTCAAGAAATTTCCCTGAGCCATACCCCATAAATATATGCACCTACTATGCACCCACAAAAATTGAAAATAAAAATAAATTTTAAAAAGGGAAAATTTCCTGAGCCAGTGTGGATTTCTATGTATCTTAAGCATGAGCAACAAAAGACTAGGATTTCTAAAGATAAATACTGGTAGTAAAATTTATCTTTGAAAAAATGTGAGCTTTTTTATTTTCTCTTTCCTTCCCAAAGGTTTACTTTTTTTTTTTATTTTGTTTTCCTCCATTTCCATGTATAGGCATAAGCCACATTTAAGTATCTAAACTGTCAAGGGAATTGATAAGAACTTTTCCAGGGATGTCTATTATACTGGATCTATATATATACATAGGACTAGCCCAGAACCACTAATGCACTCAAAATGGTCACTTTCTGAAGGAAATGATCACATAGAAAAAAATCATCTTTGTCCCTTTTTTCATGTCAATATTTCTTTGTTTCCTCTCCCGTTTCTTATTACTTCCCTCTTTCACTCTTATCGGCTGGATATTCTCCTATAAAAGCCATTTAGTTTTTGATGCCTCTAAGCCCTCATATTCCTTAAACTATTTCCTTTAAAAGCGATTTTTCCTCAAATTTGGCCACAGTCAATCATTCATTAACAGACGTTGTGGCCACAGGCTGCATTTCTCAGAAGTAGGCAGAGGAAAGGGAATGTATTCATCGACATCTTCTGTCAGAAGTCAATAAGCTGTCATTTGACCCTCCTGGGCCCTAAGCAGGTGCTCCTTCCTTTCTTCTGACAATTGCAAAGATTCCCTAGACCCCCATGACAGCTCCTAAGTTAGTACTTAGTGGCTTCACTGACAGGTGCTTCTCTGTTTTACCAGACAACAGGTGTTTGCCCAATGCAGCCTGCCAAAAGCCAGGGATTCAGAGTAGAAAACAAAGCCTATTTGCAAAAATGATTACTGTAATTAAGAGCCATGGTGATGCAAACGATGAAAACACTTGTACGTACACCCTTCCCCCACACACACACTCACACTCACACTCTTTCAAATCCTCACTCCCCTAGAAAAAGGAAAGAGCAGGCGGAAAAAAAAAAATCATTCACCATTACCATATACTTTTAAATGCTGTAGAGTCTCACTTCTCTGGGGGAGAAAATTTAAATAATTATTAAGCCATCTTTTGAAGCCATTCCTTTTAAGGATCTTCATTTAGGATTTCAGTTATTGTGCATTCTGGGGATTACAAGGCAGTGTATACTGACAGATTTCCTTTGAGGAACTTATGATTTACTTAAGACCATATATATCATAAGAAAATTGAAACAGCTAAGCAATAATCAAATCACAATATGTTTGATGGTGACCCTGGTTACAACACAGAGTTCCACTGTGTGCTCCTCTAGCTCCCAGCAGAAAATTTGCTCATTTACAACCAAGAAAAGTCGTATTGTAATATGCTGTATGCTCCTAAAACCCTCCCTTAAGGATTACACAGGAGCTTCAAAGATAGGGAAGACAGCAGGGTGATTTGCATGAAGTAAATTCTTTTTTTAAAAAAAAATCTGTGAATGTAAGATTAGTCACTTTTTTTTCTTTTTTTAGGAGCTAATTTAGGACCTTCTCATTGCTCTGACCTGGGCCAGCTACTGAAATGAAAAGCAAATGGACCAAGGGTGTGGACACAGTAGATATGAGAAGTAACAGAATTTATCAGCATGATTGTCATAATACGAGCAAATGATCACAACATTAAAACTAAGTTGTATGTGTCATGTCTTTCTACTCCATTTTAAATCTCATTTTGTGTATGACTGCATGGGAGGTAAAGTGGGGACGTGTCGTAAGTTCTATTTTAGTTGTTATATACCATGATTATCAAATGCTCCTATAATGTGCTTATTGAATAAATGGTCCAAGATTGTTGGGCTAGCTAATTTGCAATTTGAAAAAAAATGATTAAAGGTGACAAAAGTGCAGTTTACAAATAATTCCCTTTTTAGAGGACACAGGAAAAGGAATTCTTTTCTTTCTTTCCCTTCTCTCTTTTTCTTTCTTTTTTATTTTTGTTAACAGCTTTTGTTTAAGTCAAAATCATCTTTTTGACTTCCCATAAAGTGTCTGGTTTCAGAAAAAGTATGCAAAGAATATTTCTCTAGAATGTGATGCCTAAACTTTTCCTGAAAGAAAACAACAAAACACACCAAAAACTAAACTGAAGCAAATTATCCACTTGCTATTGTTGAGGACATCTTTCAGATTCGGTGCAGTCCCACCCCAATAATTGGAGTTGCATCTCCAATTATTGTCCCCCTGAAGAAACCTAAGCACTTTATTTTGAAAAATAAATAAATAAAACATTGTCTGTGTGTTCTGGCTCTCAGACTTAGTCTGAAAAGTCACCTTTGATCAAATTATTTTCTGAACAAACAGCCTTTGAATGGGCTGGTGAATGGATAGCACGTGCATCATAGTTCCAGCAGCTTCCTACTGTTTTCTTGCTGGTACCAGGCTTGGTCTCACTTCTGTTCTCTTCCTGCCCTTCCCATTTGGCACAGGAAAGATGTTCTAGAAGAGGACATACGTTTTTCCCCCCATCCTCTATTCCCACTTTTCTTGAATGAGTACCCATTTGCTTATGGCCTGTCTTTGTGGATACAAACCAAATGCTAGAGCTATTCAAATAGCAGCTATGCTAATTTATCTTTTTTTTTCTTTTCTCATAGATAAGAAAAGTCTGATTTCCACCCAATGCACTCCTTTTGAGGAATTAAGACTGGAAGTATAGGCCGGGCTTGGCGGCTCATGCCAGTAATCCCAACACTTTGGGAGGCCAAGGCAGGCAAATCATTTGATCCCAGGAGTTCGAGACCAGCCTGGGCAACATAGCGAGACCAACCCCCCTCAACCCCCATCTCTATGAAAAATGCAAAAACTAGCCAGGTGTGGTGGTGCGTGCCTGTAGTTACAGCTACTCAGCAGGCTAAAGTGCGAAGATCACTTGAGCATAGGAGATGGAAGCTGCAGTGAACCCTGATTGTGCCACTGCACTCTAGCCTGGGAGACAGAATTAGACCCTGTTTCATAAAAAAAAAAAAAAAAAAAAAAAAGACTGGAAGTACTGCACCCCTCCACATATGTTTAGAATGTCCCCTTTGACATTATTAGATATAGACTGTACCAGTAAGAAAACCCATTACAAAGAGCAGAGAGGACTTTATTTGGGAGGCAGGGAAAGGTGGTATGATTTTTAAATCATGATTTTCATATGCATGTGTAAGGAGTACAGGGAATTGTATCCTTTATCTTCTACGGCTGGCCTTAGACAGGATAAAAGGCTTCCAGTTCTTAAGAGAAAGTATTTCCCTACAACTGGGTAATGCAGGCTAGGATAACTGGGGGTCTATAGTGGTTTGGGACTTAGTGCATGGATGTACCAGAAGCTAAAACAAAAATAGTCACTGGGATAACTGGAAAGCACAGGAGTTGGGCTTTATGAGAAAAACTGATTGCCTTGAGTTCACTTAGGTCACAAAGTACCTCTCTTTAGTAGCAAATGCTGTTTTACTTTCTGACTTCACAGATATAATGTCCAGTGGCCAATGGCCTTTTGCAAACAGGCCTCTTCTCAGAGGGAAGGACTGGACCCTGGAGAAAGAAGTCTAACCTCAGGACTTGCACAATTTGTAACTATACCTTCATCACCCTAAAAGTAGACACTGCACACATTCTTCTGTCCCTCTTGGTCTTTGGTTCTTCCTCACACAGCCGGCCCTTCCCAGCTCAGTGCTCCTTTAGCCACAGGCTATTTGTTGCTGTAGTTGCTGCCAACTTGGCTGGTGAGAAGCCAGGCCTGGAGGAAATAGAGGGTCCTGGCAAGAACCTGGACTGAGGGCCCCCACCAGGTTAGCTTCCGAGTCCTGCAATGCACTGTGCTTCTGTCTTAGTTGGCTTGGGCTGCTATAACAAGACAACCATGGACAGAATGGTTTAAACAACAAACATATTTCTCATGGTTCTGGAGGTTGGGAAGTCTGCGATCAGGGTGCCAGCATGGAGGGACTCCTTCCTTGTTTCCTCATTTGAGGGATTGGGGTTGTGAGAGGAAGAAAGCTCTCTCCTCTTTTTATAAGGGGGAGGCAGAGGGGCATGCACTAATCCCACCTCATGACCTGATTAACTTCCAAAGCCCCATATCCAAATACTATCACATAAAAGAACAGAGTTTTAACTTGAATTTTGGGTACCCAAACATTCAGTCCATAGCAGTCTCTACTAAAAAGTGTATGCAATTAGAGGCCACTGTGGGGCTCCCAGGACCTGATTAACAAAAGATAGTACTATCTGGGTATAGCCTGAGAGTATGAAAGGGTGATAGGAATATAGAGTTGGGTAGGGGTGGGGTGCAGAGGCTTTTGGGACCATGTTTGAAACAGCTATCCCAGGAAAGCATTCTAAAAATCCTTGGGTTTTCTTTGGATCAAACAAAGAAAATTTGGCCTTGCCTTCAAACTGTACAGTCATCTTAAAGCTCAGAACAGGCAAATTTCTCATGGCACCTGCACCTCCAGGAGTGGAGATTTTGGGGTAACTGAGGCTCTTGGAACAGAAGTCTGTGTAAGATCAGCCTGGCACAGTGGCAGCCTGGTTCCTGGGTCAGACAGCCTCCCAGGACAGTGGCTTGCATTGCCAGGGTTGTTCATTCTATTCCATCATCTATCTCTTGTCCGTCCTTCCAACCCAGCATGAGACATTGTAGGATGAACAGTCTTGCCTTCAGGACCCTTGCCTCAGTGAGGCCTGGCCTCAGTTTAAACCCAGGGGAATGTTGTAAATATTGAGACGGTCTCTAGAGTGAAGGAAATATTGGGCTCTGACTTGACTTATACACCCTGACTTCTCTTTTCTTAGGCTTCTGGGTTCCAACCAGAGGTTACCGGTAACTTTATCTTCTTTTGCATTGATTTCTGTCTCTAGTAACCAGATCACACTTGTAGTTACGAAAGGGATAGGGGAAATTCACCACCAGTTTTCCACACAGAAATAGGGGAGGCCTGGAAAGAAAGTTCAGATGCTGGGGTCCAGGAAAAGTGACCCTGAGGGGGTTGGTCTAGGAAATGTGAGGCCTAGTGGGGTGAGACACCGCTGAAAGAGAGCTCAAGAAGAGGGGGTGGGGACCTAAGCCGAAGCCCGCGCACTCACTGCCTGGCGCCTAGGTGACTGGTGGAATCTGCTAATCTGTTGGGTAGTTTTTCCGTCGTCTGTCAGGTGGCGATGAGTGGAAACTAATCTTCGGGGCCGTTTGTTTTACCTCTGCAGGAAGCAGGGCGCTTGCGCCTTCTCCCAACCTTGCTTTCCTGGCTGGGAGAACGCAGGAATTGGAGAACTGAGCTGTGGGCTCGAATCCGCGCATGACCTGGAGATCTGGACCAAGCTCCGAGGCTTAATGGGGAAAGCTGAGATGTCCCCAGCAGGGGGCTTTGGGCGATTAACTTTTCGGAAAGTCGCCAGAGAAAGTGTGGTGCAGGCTTGCGCTCTTTTGGGTGGAGTTCACAGGAGTAGGGCTCGAGGTAGCCAAAACAGTAAATTGAGATAGCTCCCCGCCCCACATTCCCCACTGCAGAATTGCTGTGGACAGAGGCTCTCGAAGATCGGCTGCTCAGAGTGGTAGGCAGGATGTAGACCAGGGCGGGCGCAGCCCTGGCGCATAGCGCGACCCTTTCGTCTCTCAGCTGAGCTGCGGAGGAAGGGGGCTTGGCAGCTCAGCTCACGGAACAAGCGCAGTGCTGTCTTTCATGTTTCACTGTTCAGTTTTTGTAGCTTTTTTTAATGGCCCCAATACATAACTCTCTTGTGAAAAAAAAAGTTTAATAGCATCCACCCTACACACTTATGATCACCAATGGAGATTTCCTTTTAAGCCCCGAGTATGTGGGCACATTCGGCTGCCCGCCCAACCCCCAATCCTCCCACCCCAGTATGGAAGACAGTCGGGCGTTGAGGACTGGTTTGCCAAATTCAATCACTGTCCACAACAGCTGGTCACTTGTCTCCTTTTAGTGAGCCCCTGACTCTTTCTAAGCCCTTGGAATCCAGAAAAGTGTATCTTGCCATCCTCCAGTTTGAGGTAGACTAAAGCCTGAGCAGGTGTCTTTGCCTTCCTGGGTCATCCCTAGGCAAGGATTTGATCCCCAGTTTGGCTCTTGCGGGAGTTGAGAGGGAAACAAGGATGGTTGTTTCAGTGCAGGCGGGGCTGCAGAAACTGAGAGAAGGGAGCAAAGACAAGAGGCTGATAACAGCTCCAGAAACTGGACTCCAGAGTCCTCTTGACCTCCTGGGTTTAGACAGGGGGCTGATAGTGCAGCTGGGGCAGGAACCACTCTCCTCCTCTTTCAGCAGACTCCTTGGGAAAAGGAAAGGGAGAAACAAGCAGCTGGATTTGCTTTGGAGAATCTTCGTCACTTGAGGAATGGGCTGTGTATTTGCGTGGCATGGGGGAACTTACAAATGGCATTCAGCAGCATCAATGTGGCTTAAACCCTGACAGCTTTGCCACAGACCTCAGGGCATTGCCTGAAGAAGGAACAGCACCCAGGTTCAGAACCATCCTACAATCATCCTCCCCAGAAGAAGGTGATTTCAGTCAAGTAGACCATTCTGAGAGATACTGTGACTGTTCTCAATGTCTACTTTTAGGGTTGCCTTGTAAGGATCTGCCTACCCACCCTAGTTAAGGGAGAAGTATATAACTTGAGCCTAGAACAGTGGACAGGGGGTGTGTTCAGCTCTGGACAGTATCTCATGTAGTGTGCCCATGTTATGCACATCTATGTGTGATGTCCTCTTTCTTTATCACAGTGGTTTTACTACACTTTCCAGGTAACCTTCTGTTTTACAAGTACTTTGATGTTACTCTGGCGGTGGAAGATTCCAAACCTGAAAAATCTGCATTGTTTTATATGCGTTTCATTATTGAGATGGAAAACCTTAAGTAGGTACTCAATAATGGGTAAGGCCGTTTCTTAGCTTCAACCTTGGTTCATCTGAATTGACCTTATCAGTCAATAGCACGGGCCGTTTCATTAAAATAACCAATGAATAATGTATCATAGCTTAGTTTAAAGTTTCAAATATGTTTTTAGACAGAAACATTCCAAGCATGCAAGTCAGGTGTATTTCCCAGATAAATAACAGTCTGGGGACGTTGCCCGTACAGGGAAATTCTCTGTTCTCAAGGAAATTTTCCCTTCTCGGGTTTCCTGAGGTTGAAATCCAGCGCGCACGTCATTAATCATTCACTGAGGTCGGTCCCTCAGTCAATGGCAGGTCTGGGTAAGCTAAAGCGAGCAGTTAGCTAACCCTTCCTGCCACGGGGATCCTGGGGCGAAAGAGGACAACTGGGCGGTCAGTTACATGTGCTGGTGTCCAGCCGCTGCCTCTCTTTCCCCGGTCGGAGCGCGGGGGTGCGTGTGCCCTCACTCTCACGAATACAGACGGAGAGCTTCCCAGAAGGAAAAACAAATTCGTCATAATGTTCAGCGCAGCCGAGAGTTTCCAACAAGAAAGCAGCTCCAGTCGTGGCATGATGACTCAGGGTGGCGTTTTAAACGCTGAATAAACCCATTCCTTAGCTCTTTAATAAATCGCTAATAACAGCAAAAACAGCCTTCTCCCCGAACCGCGCCACACCAAAGGCTTCCCAAGTTGGGCTGCGAATCCCTGTTTGGTTTTCCAACGCCGAAAGACGTAGAAGCAGTGGGATCTCCTGGTGGGACGCATTTCTCCAAGGGCTCCCAGAGAGAGGACGAGATAGCAGGGTTTACAGGGCAAAGAGAGGAGAACCTGGAAATCGTGTCCTGGGGGGCAAGAGTGCGTTGCCCAGTCACAAGTGTGCTGTAGAGGTGGGAGAGGACAAGGACCCATTTCCACATTTCAACCCTCCGTTTCTATCGCTGCCCCTGGAGGACTCAGCTGCTAACGCCGAGCTCGTTTCCACGCGGCTCTGGTCCTAGTCGGGGAATCCGGGTGGCCGCGCGACGCGAGAGAACTGCTGGGATGCGTGGCCCTGGTATGGGCGCACCCAGCGTCCGGGGCGCAGGTTCTCTCAGCCCAGCTTCTCCTCCCACTCACTCGCTCGGATCTCCTCCCTCCTTCACATCCCCCGCCCCCGGGACCGCGAGGCTCCCTCCCCGCACCGGCCAGTGAGTACACAAAGCCGCGGGTGAGGGGAAGCTTCGCAGGCGTGCACGGAGCAGTGAGATCACTGGCGTTATAAATATCCCGGTGCCAGCGCGGAGATCCGCTCGGGTGGCCTCTCTCTTCCCCTCTCCCCTTCTCTTCCCCGAGGCTATGTCCACCCGGTGCGGCGAGGCGGGCAGAGCCAGAGGCACGCAGCCGCACAGGGGCTACAGAGCCCAGAATCAGCCCTACAAGATGCACTTAGGACCCCCGCGGCTGGAAGAATGAGCTTGTCCTTCCTCCTCCTCCTCTTCTTCAGCCACCTGATCCTCAGCGCCTGGGCTCACGGGGAGAAGCGTCTCGCCCCCAAAGGGCAACCCGGACCCGCTGCCACTGATAGGAACCCTAGAGGCTCCAGCAGCAGACAGAGCAGCAGTAGCGCTATGTCTTCCTCTTCTGCCTCCTCCTCCCCCGCAGCTTCTCTGGGCAGCCAAGGAAGTGGCTTGGAGCAGAGCAGTTTCCAGTGGAGCCCCTCGGGGCGCCGGACCGGCAGCCTCTACTGCAGAGTGGGCATCGGTTTCCATCTGCAGATCTACCCGGATGGCAAAGTCAATGGATCCCACGAAGCCAATATGTTAAGTAAGTTACTCGCTCTCCTACAAAACCCGTCCTAGGCGGCCGCGGAAGATTCGGGAGGGACAGCAGGTATTCGCCGGGACACAGGCTCACCTTCCTGAGCCCAGGCCACTGGGACCAAGCTGATACTCAGAAACAGCCGGGCGGGTTGGGTGGAGATGCATCTATATGGCGTGCGCACACGCACCCCTCTCCTGGGCATGAGGAATTGCGATTTCTCAGGTGTATGTTACCTAGAGGCTGGTGCCCAGACGGGTACCTTGTTTTCAGTTTGCTCTAGCCTCAAAGACGAGTCCCCAGCCATGACAGGAGAGAACAAAAAACTCATTTCTTCTCACTCAATTTGTTTACCTTCTGCTTATGAACTAGCCTGGCATTTTTCATTAGGCATCAAAGGCAGCCCTTCTCCCTATCCATAACTGAAGTTATTTTTTGAAAAGAAGAATCAAATCCCAAATACTTCCCTCTTCCATCCGCTACCATAAACCTCAAATTAATATTGTATATGTATATGTATATATGTATATAAGTCTATGTATACAATGTATACACATAGGTAGATAGATAGATAGATAGATAGATACACAGATAGATAGACAGACAGATAGATAACTAGGGGACACCAGACAGACATTCCTGCTTGGAAGAAGATTGTGCTCTAGAAAACTGGACGCGTTTAGAGAGGGAGACATGATAAACATTGAAATTACTAACTCCAGAGTTGGATTTAACAATGTTTAGTATCTTGAGACCATGACTACACCGTATTAGGAGAGTGGCCAGCCTTTGGTCCCCAAGAACAGTTAGGGGAAAGTTCCTTATTTTAGAAGAAACGCAGAGGTTAAATTTGGTAGGGGTGCAGATTTTGTAGGACTTTTTATAAACAAAGTTTTAAATTTTCCCTCTGAGTTTTTTCTTTCAGCACGCTCTCTTTTTTCCTTTCTCATCTCCTCTTCCCTTCCACCCCATCTATGTTTCCAGACCATCGCAGCCACTCCTCTGGTTTCTCTTCACTGCCTCTAGGCAGCTGGGGGCAGGGACGGTTTGGGGCTGTGAGTAGGAGTGGGGAGATCTCTGTGGGGCTTTTGCTCAGTAGGGCCAGATCGCTCTTCCAGCGCGGGTTGGTCCACCAGGCAGAGCCCCAGCCAGGGCCTGTCAGGTACCCAGGGAGACCGGAAATGTAGCCAGGAGACAGCAGCGCTCACAGTCACCTGGTTTCAGTGTCAGCCTGGTTGCTCCTAGATGTTCCTAACTTGCTCCATCTCAGACCAAAGACTCCACGGGCCATTGGGCTCCTTCTTACACAGGCTCCAGAGGAGCGTGGACACCACCGGCGGTCTGAAGATTTGGCAGCCAGCAGTCTCCAGAGGGGGGTCGGAGGCGCGCAAGTGGGTAAGGCGGTAGGCTGGCTAGCCTCCTCCGGTGGGTTAAGGGGGCCTAATGCGGAAGACCTGATGGTTCATGCTGAGAGAAAAGCAGGTCTATGCCCGCCCCTCTGCGCCTGTCTAGTCTATCTGATCGCGCTGATTCAGCAGCCTGCGGCGCACGTGGTGAGGGCGCCTGGAGCGCCCAGCTGGAGAGAGGGCCCTCCGCACACGCACCAGCGAGTCCCAGGGCCTCCCTCACACTCCCGAGAGGAATCTATTTCCATATTTTAGAGTTTATTTCACTCATCGAATAACTGCTCATTTGGGGGATAAAGGGCAAGATCTGTTGGGGTGAAATGGAATTTTCTGAGATTTGAGGAATAATCAGTAACATCTATTTATTTCCATTCGTCCTTCTCATTTTGTCTCAACGGTCTTTTGACTCCATCAGCCATCACAGCTTATTCCCACTTCCGGCAACCTTTCCTTCTCTCTTACAAGAAAACTTTCTTTCTTCTGTTCTTCTTGTAACGACCCGTGGAGTCATTGGTCTGAGATGGAGCAAGTTAGGAACATCTAGGAGCAACCAGGCTGACACTGAAAGACAGGTGACTGTGCGCGCTGCTGTCTCCTGGCTATGTTTCCACTCTCCCTGGGTACATGACAGAGCACCAACAGAGGATAACTTCCGTGAGCTCAAGGGCGGACCCCAAACTAGCAGGCAGCAAGCAGCAGGTTGGAGCCCAGGGAGCTCAGAGAATGCTTCTGGGGAGGGTTTAGGTGTGCTAGAGATCTCAGAAAGCAAGGCTCATTCCCAGGATATTCACCATCTTCTCTACGAAGACACTATATGAGACGAAGGTAGTTTTACAGCTTAGGCCTTGCTAGAGGGGGTGTTGTAGAAAAGCAAAGGGGGGAAAATAAGAGCAGATCAAAAAGAGTGCACCCAGATAAACAAGACATTGACCACTACCCAGTATGTAACATGTACATTTTCTTTTAAAATCCATGTTGAAAGATATCTACAAGAGAACAGGGATGTTTCCTAAAACAGTGCCGACAAAAAGCTTAATTTAAACTTTTTCCTAATTTATTCTTGTTTACAATAACCTTTCAGAGTTTAGTTTCTGTGTCTTTCACATGACTTGCTTTCATTCATGCCATAAATCATGTACCCAATATAAGATACCTATCTCACTAAGCATGATATTTTGGTTACTTTTGTGTTGTTTGTCTTCCATAGAGTTTTTTTTTTTTTCCCCAGAAGAAAGCATAGCAAATATTCAAATCATAGTAATTTTCTGCTTTGTGATATCTGGAGTGTCTAATACTACTTCATAAAATTTTTACTACCTTTGATCAATGCAGAATTTGCATGTAATTTGGGAATTTAACATGGATCTCTGCCATTACCTAGCTGTAAAAGAGAAACAGAAACTTGCTAATTACAATTGGTCATTTACCTCTTTGAAGGCAGTAGTTGATGTTTCCTGACATTCGTGTAAACTAAGGTGTTGGCCATGGCCTTTCTTAGAGTATGTGAGGAAATGTGTTTAAATCTCCTAAGAGAGGCTGAGAGGGCTGGATCAAGGGCCACAGAGGATACCTCAGTTTGATCTCATCTTCTATTTCTACTGTATGTGAGTTAGTGATGATAGAAAACCTATTCTTTTTGTTACAACCCTGATACTTCAGAAAAGTCAAAGCTTTGCCATGAAACTGCATTCTAACAAGTTATTTTAAACCTAATAATATTCTGTAGTATTTGTCTGATAGAACAGATAATCATATGTGTTTCGCAAACTATTATTTGACAGTAAACTTTTTTTTTTTTTTTGCAAATTGCAAATGTTTTCTGGTTTCACCATGAGAAGTGCACCATGGCCATGGACTTTCAAACATAATTTGTTTAGTTTACATGGACCAATTAATATACTCTTAGCTTCTCTTACACAATAATTATCCCAAGTTTTGAACACAGAAAATGAAATCAAGCTCATTGTATATAAATCCTTATTATGAGGAAATACTGTGGAAAAATGAAGAAATATGAACAAGGCAAGATAGATGACCCAACTATTGCATGGAAACAAATGGTTTGGTTTAATTTATACGCCTTCAAGTTTAATGTCAATACAGTGCTTCTGTTGACTTACCTTGGGCCATTGAAGAATAGGCAATCAAGTAGTTGTCAGTTTAGGGAAGAAAAGTTTAAGGCTTTGTCAAAGCGTTTACATAAAATATGAAAATTCCAAGCACATATTTTGGTTAATAGAATCGTCGATGTTACTGCTTTTTAAAAAAATCTAAATTCACTACCAATTTTGGGGTCATGTGGAGTCATTAGACAGTCCCCCAAGCCTAGATAAATCAGAATCTATATCTACTATGCAGAAAAATCAAGTGGAAAATTTCTGTTGCTAATTTAATCAGTGAAGACTGCTAAACTGAATATTTCAAGATTCAGATTTCATAACTTGGCACAGCATATCTGTTACTTTGTGGATGCAAGTAGAGAAACTTCAGTTTTAAAATATTTTTGTCTGGGGATTTTCAGATGCGTTGTTGAAAGCTTCTGAATACATGGAATATCTGTGCTTTTCTATATTTTATTCATTAACAAAAGAGAGAAAAAGGAAAAATGTGTATAGTTGTATCAACCACTATCAGTAGAGCCCTATTATATTAAGAAATCTGCAGAGGACTAAGTCAAAAATCTAGAAATATGTTTTTTTTTACGGAAGTAAGCTTACATCATAATGCATAAGTGGAATAGACTGTGTGTATAAGCTGAGAGACACCAAGACATTCTTGCCTTCTTCAGCCTAGGTGTCAATGCTGAAATTCCACAAAGAGAATAATTCCTTCTGTTAAGCATTCTCCTCTTCTTTTGACCCTCTTAAATGGGAACACCTTAAGAAAAATAACACACTGTCTGTAGCACTTTAATGTGAATTTATTTACACTGAGCCACCCGTCCACCCCGTGCCTTCTCAAGCAGGAGAAGGCCACAGTAGCAGGAGAGTACTAAGACACCTGTCCATACTTGTGTATGCATGGGGTGTCCTGACAAGAGAAAAGAGAGGTAGTGAGAGGATCAAAGAAGGCAGTCAAATTTAGCAAACAGTCATTGACTATATACCATCTACAAGACAAGCTTGGCCTTCCACAGTTTGGCTTAGAAATACTGCCTTGGCATCCATAAGGAGAATTGTAAGTTTCCATCAAATTTAATATGCGTGACTCCCGATGATAAAGGTCAGAAAATTACTGAAATTAAAAAAAATCAATGTCAGAGAAATGTTTTCAGAAATTTATATATTTGTGATTTAAGGCACATGGGTTTAAAAAATTACGTAGAATTCCTGAATGAGTTACTGAGATTTGTCATAGCAAAATCAATAGGCCTGTGATGTTTTGGGGAGGAGGGCAGGAAACTGAACTGTGAGACTCATTGAATCTGCTCCAGAAAACAAGGCATTGTGAAATCACTGCTGACATTACTTTGGAAATTATGATCATAACAGTGTTCTTAATATTAGGTCATAATTACGGTAAGATTTAGAAGATCAATACCAAAGTTACTCACGTGAAAAATAATTCATTCATCTAGTCTCATCTCTTACATCTCCTGCATTCTTTATAATGTTAAATAGAATGACATATGTAAAGTGTATTTTTAAGCTTTCAGTTAAAGATAATTTTCTTAAGGTTATAAAATCTTTTAATTCTCAGGCACTATATCATTTTTATCCTGGAAGTTTTAAGAAGAAACCCAGCAATATGTAATACAATAATAACACTTTCACATATATTATTTCATCTTCCCCATATTTAAAATACATTACATGCAACTTGTACATAATATATACACAGAGTGTACACTGTATTGAAATACATGTTAAATGCATCTAAATGGGTCTTTGTTTAAAGAGAGAATGAGCTAATTATCAGAAACTATTTATTTAAGCAAAGCAGTAGTATTTCTATTAAAACAAATATTTATAAAGCCTTTTTATCTCAACATCTTAAAAGTTAGCATATAAACACATACACTTATGAGACTTTAATCTTTTATTCTGCCATGTATTTTTTCATTAATATACAATATATCTGCATGTTCAAAACCAGATAATTTTCCAGGGAATGGAATTAAAAGCCTCTAACAATCTAGCACCATGAGTAAATTGGAGGAAATATACAATCAAATCTCTCCTGTATCAACTCCATGTTGTCCCTTTTGTATCCATCATTCCACACATATACAATTTCCTTCTTTCTTTCTTTCTCATTTTTGAATGCACATGTTTACATAAATATTCACAATCACATCCCCCATCTCCCAAATATCTAAAATCATTAATGCTATTCCCAATATCATTCCGTATTTCCAATAGAAATTTAACTTTGTATCACTGTTATAGTCATGCTTTAGTAATAATATTATTATAACATATTACATCTGTGTAGAGTAACTTTACAAAGCATTTGGTGTGTTTTGTTAATATTTGATAAAATGATAATGCTTCTAAACCTTTAGAAGCACACTCAAACAATGTTCATAATAAATCCTATTATAAATAGCATTTAAAAACATTTTGAAGGAAAGGATTTATACAGCACTGGTGGTTTTTTTTTTCAGTTTCCTTCTAAAAGCAAAAGTAGTTTCCAATAGTTTTTGATTTTTGTTTTTCAATTTAAAGAAACACCTATTAGTGAACTGGTACCTGCAGTTTCCCTAAAGTGTGTTTTATTTACTTTGGGCTAAAAACATCTATTTTTTAAATAAGCTGTTCAGTTATCCCCTTTTTCACATAAACTTTCTAATCAAGTTTTTTAAGAAACCAAGTTGAATAAATAAACAGCAGTGCTTGCTAGAATTATAGATGTTAGCTCACATTGCACAAAATAAATGCTCAATAAAGTTACTCACATATATTTATAAAATATTTCTTGTTTTTGGTAAACAGAATAATTTTATATATACCTCAAATACTGCAGGGAGAGTTTGCTATTTCAAGAAAATCTGATGAATTTCTCTATTTGGCAGAGTCCTATTGAGATATCCTAATTAGTATATATGCTTAGAATATTATAGATGGAAATATTGAGATGTTCTTTTTTCCATCCCTTTCCTTCTTTGTTTCCTTCTTTTCTTCCTTCCTTCTTTTCCTTTTTAAAAGTAGAGATGCGGTGTCACTATTTTGACCAGGATGGTCTTGAACTCCTGGTATCAGGCGATCCTTCAGCCTCAGCCTTCCAAAGTGCTGGAATTACAGGCGTGAGCTACTGCACCTGGCTTCCCTTTTTCCTTTCTAAGACAGGTCCCTTTTTAGCTCTATTGAGCTAAAAATCTCTTTTTAAAAATTTTGAAATAGACAACTAATAAAACACATTATAGCTCTATTGAGCTAAAAGTCTCTTTTTAAAAATTTTGAAATAGACAACTAATAAAACACATTATGCTCTTTTCATGTTCATATAAAATACATAAATTTATGTTAAATAAGCAGGCTTTCTAATTAAGTGCAGACTATGTGTTTTATCTTATTAAACTACTCTATGAACAGTGGTGTGTAATTCTCTTGATCCAGTGGACGTGAATTTTGAAATTACTGTAGGAGACAGAGGGACATTGACTTCATAATGCTAACTATAAAATACAAAATTTATACAACAATGTAATAAATTATTTCATTAATTTTTTTCTAGGAAATGATTCAAAATGCAAGATGTCTCAAAGCATAATCCATTAAACATTTCATTGAACCAATAATTTCAAGTTATTTATAATGCTTTCAGTATCTTATATGTAGTCTTTAAATGCAGTCACTAAAAGACTGAGTATGGTATATGTTTATTTGTAACTACCATTATAACCTTGATAATTAGAGTAGAGGAATTTATTTAATGTAAATAAGTATTATTTTCCAGACTTTCAAATAGTTATACTAGTCTTGAGCACAGATTTGTGCTTTAATGTTCAAAGTAGTGTATTATCTTTGATGAAGAAACAATGGAGGAGAATTATTTTGAAAAACATTTTTTAAATGTCTTTTTAATTTCTTTAAAACCTGAGAAAACTTCATGCTCATTGTTTACTAAAAGCAACTTATTTGTCCAAATAATTACTGATGAAGTAGAATCAAATTTTTGAATCTTGAAATTATTTTAAATGAACACTTGAATCCTAGCCTTCTTTGTTTTTAACATAGTGAATGTCATGAACAATAAGGATGTTAAATACTAAGTTCTTTTTTAAAATCACAATAATAAAGAATGGAAAGAATCTATGTAGAAATTTAATTCTTCACAATGATATAAATAAGAGCCTGTGTTTTATTTTGGGATTTCTGTCATCCTAGGTGTTTTGGAAATATTTGCTGTGTCTCAGGGGATTGTAGGAATACGAGGAGTTTTCAGCAACAAATTTTTAGCGATGTCAAAAAAAGGAAAACTCCATGCAAGTGTAAGTAGAACCACTTTATATTTGTTAAAGGTGCTATAAAGATTTTACATTTGTAAAACAGAATAATTTTCCAAATTCATAGGTAAGAAAATTTGCCCAAAGAACTTAACTTTTAAAAAGTATTTTTACATTTAACCAAGATAATTTTGTGCGCTTCCAGAAGTAATAATTTAAATATTTAATTTACTTAAAAGATATTACAGAGTCTACAAAAAGTTTAAGCATAAATGTATTTGAAAACAGCATTCTCAAAGGGGCAGCCATCCACTTATTTCTTAGAAGTGGCCCACGTAAGAAGGAATATGGCAATAATATATTTCATCACATTTTAAACTTACAAGTTTATAGTGACTGTATTTGTGCTAAGTAGATGAGGTTCTTATTTAAGTTTACAGGCTACTCATAATACCAAATTGGGTCTCAGTAATGTAAAATATTTTCATATTAACAAGCAGGGAGGGAAAAAACCAATAATTAGAAGACTCTGACTTTCATAGACAAATTTTATTTAATTAATTTGAAGAATTTTTATCTTGTATTTTTGTCACATCAAAAATAAAGACTTCTTAATACTATGAAAACTAATTTTGCATTCTCAAAAATTTATTCAGACCAGTTTTATATATTGTAATCAATTCACAAACTATTTATTTGCTTTGTTATGAAAGTTCCCATTACCTGGGAAGTATTAAAACATTTTAAAGATAATAAAATATGTTCAGCTTAGTTTTCCCACTCACAGATTCTATTTATTTGCATTAGTATATACACGCTGCACTTAAAGGTGCTTTATGCTTTTTCTCTGGCATACTTATTTTCTTCACATTAAAACATTTTGAAAGCAATTATTCTTTAAAGTTAGTCCTTTAATCCTGATTCTTTATAGTCTTTATTAAATAAATTATTGGAATATCACTTTTTCAGTTTTCAAAGTTATAGAAAGTTTCAATTGATAGCAATAATTGAAACTTACTATATATAATTTGATTTGATAGATCTTTAAAAAATTCAATGAGAACGCCACTTGGTTTAATGTGTAAGACTTTTATAATTTTACTTTTCTTAACATCTAAAGTGATTTGTTAATATCTTTTGGAAGAGACAGAATTTGAACAATTTCTATAGTTATTTGAGGATTCGATGAGATAATACATGCAGTGTGCTAAGAATACTATTTGGTGTGTTATAAGTGCTCAATAAATATTGCCTATTATTATAGGGTTAACAATCTAAATATAATCTAAATATAATAAATTACTAAAATTTCAGTTTACTAACATAAATGGAAATCCTTTGTTAAACACTTAAATCACTCATTGCAAGAACTATTAAACAATTTACCATTTCATTTTTTGAGCTGGTTACTATACTCTAGCAAGATGTAGTATAATATTCATAGAAATATATTTTTCTAATTTTTTCATTTGTTTAAGGGACAACATTCTGCATCACTGTGAAAAAAGTAGGGTATTACTTTTTTAAATTTATTTTTTATTTCAATAGGTTTTTAAGGAGCAGGTGGTATTTGGTTACATGAAAAAGTTCTTTAGTGGTGATTTCTGAGATTTAGGTGCACCTATCACCCCAGTAGTGTACACCGTACCCAATGTGTTGTCTTTTACCCCCAGCCCCCTCCCCTTTCCCCCTGAGTTCCCAAAGTCCAATGTATCATTCTCAGGGCATTTAATTTTATTTTAAAATATTAGTTAAAATCCACATACAGATGAGTTCTCACGAGGGCTGGAAAAAAAAGTAAAAAAAAAAAAAATCCACATACAGAATTGAAAACAATGATTAAACACATCTAAACGGAATAACTTTTCCTCAGTCTACTTTAAGTTTATAAAAGATTAAAACACCTTTAAAATCTAACCTCATAATAGTACACAGTGCATACAAAGAAACTTTCTCTTACTGGTTTGTTTTGAGTGAAAATCTTAACTTTCAAAATATTCTGATTTATGCCATAGTACATGCAAAAAAAATAGACTAAACTTGGAACAGCTTAAGGATAATTGCCACAGAAAGTAACATATTACAAATGGAAGCCAATTAGAAAGGTCAAACTGAGAGGTTAAGATACATGATTCCTCTGTCAAAGGCAAGTAACAAATTTCTAGAAATTTGACCCAAATGTCTAAGGATGGCTGGTTGAAATAATGCAGATAATGCAAAAACAGCATCTGTTATTCTTTCTCATCTTGGCAGGCTAAAGTTATTTCATAGAATAATGACTTTTAAACAGTACAAAGCAAGTCTTGCTCTTGTCACTCACTGAAGCTCTTTGATATAAAAGTCATTCTGATGACTTTGAGCTAAATTGTAGATAAAAATATTAAGCCTATGATTATGTGGATTCTTTTTAAACCAATTATCCAAGCCCACTTTCTCTTATCTGAGCATTTATTAGCACTTTTCCTCTAGGTGTAAACCTAATTAAATTATAAAGTGATTTATTTTTTAAAGATGTTGAATTTAGAAATAGTATTAATGCTAGCAATTACCAGTTTTATGCCCAGTTGGTTTCTTTCCTGTTTTCACATTCTAGTTAAACATGCTGGGAAATTGTTTTTGTAACTCTAAATATGACTATTTGATTTAGTTAATAGTTTTGATTTTTACGACTTTACATCATCCCCAAAAAAGGTTAAAAACTCATAGACTTTTAGGATTAAACTTGTAATTTGTGAGTTGCTTTAAACTAAAAATTTTGCGGAGGCATTTAAAGGGTACTTTTAGGGTTCTATCTACAAAGCAAATGTAAACTAAAAATATAAAATATTAATAGAATTCTGGGAAAAGTAATCCCCCACTGTACTGAGAAATATTCATGGATACTTGTAAATATTCAACTCAGTTTTTGTAATAATAATCAGAGTACTAAAAATTAGCTACTAGGCAGAGATAATGTACTTTCATAGTTCTTTAAAAGCCCTTTTGCTCACATTATCTCATTAGATAATGAGGTGACGAAAGAGTCTCATAGATGTTAAATTATTTTCCCAAGGTTACACAGTTAACAAGTGATTGAACCAGAACTATATCCTCCTAGAATTTTCTCTTTCTTTTTAAATGCTATAGTGCTTGGTAGATAAAAGTTAGCTTCAAAGAAGATATTAAATTTTGTTTGGAATCAATTACATTGTTTTCACCTCTTAGTGTATAGAAATTAATATGTGCGTGAAAATATTTTTGTATTACATATACAAATGAATACTGTGGCACATCATTAGAATATTTATAGCACTCTATTTAATAGGCAAATAAACAGGCAATTTAAGACTTATAGTTAAAATTGTAAATTTCCCCATTCTAGGTACCTCTTTTTCTCTTTGATTCATATCACCTTTTTTGAACTGGTGTTTCCCCCATCTACTCCTGGGTCTCCAGTACTTTACTTTAGAATCTAGAGAAGAGGGGATGTGTCTGCCACAGAATTTTACAAATGTTGGTTATTCATTGTCAATGATGAGTTGCATAGGGAACTCCTGCCTCCCGAGATAAACTTTCAAAACAGAAAAGAGATCTGTTTTGCTCACAGAAAACTTCATTTAGTAAATATTTTACTGCCATAGACACAAATATGGCAGACTGAAAGGGTAGGCCAGAGCAGATTCAGGCAGCATTGATGCTGATTCCATTTTTGTGCTAAATTTATTAATCCCATCAGATAAGTTTTATTTGAGCTTCAGCCATCTAAATGTGGGCTCCCTGGACTCATTCAAGCCCCTGATCTACAGGCAGCTCTCCTTCAAACTTTTATTGGTATACTCTAAATATGCAGTGCAACCAAATTCTTGTCGTGCAGGTTTTTCAGCATTCTTTACAAGGATGAGGATGTATGGTCTTCTCTTTGTCCAAATGTATCAAGAATCATCAAGAGCAGGAGGAGATAATTACTTTCCAAAGAGCCATGAGGGCTACTCCAAGCCACAGCTGTGGCCTGTACTCTCTTTCTCAACACATTCCCATGCTAAGATACCTTCTGAGACTGAGCACTCTTTCTCCCTTTATCTGTCTGTCTGTCCCTGCTCCCTCCTGAGGTTGGCATCCTTACTGAAAGTCCCCTAGAGAGCCTTTCTGGATTTATCTGAGGTGGGTCCAGACTAGGAGTGAAAGGCCTTGAGTGTGATGGTAAAGACACAGTTAGATTGCCCCAGGCTGAATCCTACTCTACCACTTCCTAACTGTGTCATTTTACTTCATCTTTCTATTCCTTGGTTTTATCAACTACAAAAGAAGGAAAATTAAAGTCACAATCTATTGGGATAGTTAAGTGTTTTAAACAAGATAATACACATAAAACACTTAGAGTACTGCCTGAAAAGTGTTCCACACTTAATGTTTAAACAGATTTTCCTGAATTTGCTCTCAGGCAGCTGTTTGACAATCCTTAATCTTTTTCTTTCTGATTTTGGGGTCAGGCAACTGTGACCCTTAAATTATTCAGGCCAGCCCCAACTCCTATTTATCACTGACCTTTTCTTCCTCACGTCCAAACTTTGTGTGCTTATAGGTGTCCCTTATCTACTAAGTTTTCCTTTCACCAAGGAACCTAATTTCAAAGCAAAATTTCCAAGCTCAACCTCTTAAAGAGGCATGGATTTCCTATGGTTATAATCTTGTGACTTTTTTCATAGCTCTGTTGTCCATCTTGATTTTTCCCTAAATATATAAATCTTGGAAAAGGTGGTTATCATGTATTCTTCAGTCTTTTCATAAAGTATGCAGAAAGCTCATTGCTAATTAGGGAAAAACATGTTACCTTATTTTAAAGATCCAGAGAGAAGCATGTGGTGGAATTATTTTTGTTTCTCAGGGTTTTAGGGGATCATGTTTGAAAGGAAAGCTAATTGCAGACTTTATGAAACAGGCATGGAATGTGTGCTTGATCAGTCCTAAGCAAGGAATAGATCATCCTCCTTTCCTGGTTTCAGAGGGTGCCAGCTGGCTTGCCTGGGATGAGACTCCAGAATGGACTTCCTGCGCTGCAGGCAGAGTGAAGAGGAGTCAGCAGCCCCTAAAGCTGAACATATTTACTGAAAGGGGAAATGGAGGCTTGAGTAATACTTATCATCCTCATCAAAAAATAACTTACTAAGCACTCCACTCTGCCAGTCAAGACCATGCATGAGCTAGATCAAGGCATTTGAAAAGAATATTTTTTTGCCCTCTAAGAGCTTTCAATATACAGTAAAATGGAATGTCTAGCTATTCAGGCACAAAAATGGGTTTAAACTCTGCCTTCGCAGTAAATGCCAGTTTCCCCTCAGTTTTGCACTGTGGAGGTCTAGTTAAAAGACCTATTTTATTGAGGAAATCTGGATGTGATTGCCTTGTAGATTCAGAAATCCATTTTAGCAGAAAGTGAGACATGGTAATATATTTCTTTGATGATTTGAAGAGTGACACTTGTCATTCATCAATATTTTAACAGGAAACAACTTCAGAGCAAGTAAGATTGTATGAGCAAAGACTAGGCAATAGCTTTGGTTTGTATAGTGTTATGGAAAGACCCTTAGTCTAGGAATCAGAAGATGCAATTTAAATCACAGGTCTATTCTGGCACTTAATAAATGCAGGGTGATAGATGGATCATTTTCTTTACTTCTCTGGCTGAAAAAAATCAGATAATACTATCCTAATAGCAGCCATGGAATTACTGTGAGTTAAATTATATATGTAAACCACCTGACACAGAGTAGTCTCCAATAGTCCAGCTATATGGAGTTATTAAGGGCCTCAGAAAGAAAGTCATGCTATACCATGTTTTGCCTGGTGTGGTCCTTACTTCAAGGGTATCAAAACCACATGGGATGCTGGTTAATGATACATCAAGTCCAGGGTCTCACCTCAGACTTAGAAAAACACAGTCCCTGGAGATAGGGCTTGAGGAGCTGCATTTGAGCCTGCTCTCTGAGTAATTTGAAGGCAAATTATGTAAGTGAAGAAAAGAGATCCTGTAGTTGATATTCTTTACTGCATTATCTCAGGTTGGGTGATATTAAAGCCAACTTGTGTATTTTGTTGGTTGCTCAGTATGAAGAACTGAGATATAGAAGGAACGAATGTCCAGTACCAAGCAGGAGATATGGCCGTGCCTGGGAGATAGCATGGCAAGGCTACAACTGACCCATACACAGCTTATATAGTAAAGAGTAAGAAGTAGCCCTCTGGGTGCTTGCTATCCTGTACCAGGGCACAAGTATAAAAAACGAACTGAGTTTAGGGTACCTGTCCCAGGCAGCTCCATTGGTGGAGGGAAGGGATGGGAACCAAGCAGGTCTAAAAGGAGGGAGGGGAATTAGAAGTGATGCATGTGACAAGGAAACTTAGTTTAGAGCAAAATTTGGTCTATAGTTGTTTTTATTACAGTCTATGATAACCTTTTTGTTATTTAATAATATTAGTCTATAACAACATTTTGATTATTTATATTTGGCTTTTTTTCCCTTAACTTTATAAGGTTTTTCAGGAGAAAGGGGCAAATCAAAGAAAACAAGCTGAAATAAATCATTAAAATTGATTAAGTACACACAAATTCCAAGGTTTATACTGGTGTCTGTTCAAATTCACTCCTATTTCTATATCTCATATCCTACATATTTAGTTCTGTAGTTGCACGCAAGAGTCGGTATTTGCACAGCTTTAATTCATACTATACAAGGTACTCAATCATCATAGATGGTGATATTTACTAAGGAACAAAACCACAAGAAGGGATTTTAGAGAGATTTTTTTAAACAATATCATTTTGGAAATAATTTATTTGGTTTAATTGACCTGTTTAATTTTGGCTTGGCAGAATTAGTCATTTCTGGAATATTGTAGTTAATCGGAGTTGTGCTTTCTTTGAATTCAATTTGACCGTTCAAAAAATATCTGTTGTTTAAAATTGATCCTTCACTGTGAGAAGGGGTGAGGAGAGCCACAGTTTACTTCTAGTGAAAAAGTTCTTTTTTTTTTTGAGATAGAGTTTTGCTCTTGTTGCCCAGGCTAGAGTGCAATGGTAGGATCCCAGCTCACTGCAACCTCCGCCCCCTGGGTTCAAGCGATTCTCCTGCCTCAGTCTCCTGAGTAGTTGAGATTACAGGCGCGCACAACCACACCTGGCTGATTTTGTATTTTTAGTACAGACAGGGTTTCACCATGTTGGTCAGGCTGGTCTCGAACTCCTGACCTCAAAAGATCCACCCGCCTTGGCCTCCCAAAGTGCTGTGATTACAGATGTGAGCCACCGTACCCAGCAGAAAGTTCTTATTTCTCTTAATAGTAGTGTGTTTCCTCTCCTTGTAATAATCTGGATATTCAAGAAAAAATAGTTCGATTTGTTTAAAGTTCTTTTTTTTTTGTCAATTAGGAGTATATACTAAAGTACAAAAAACGCTGATTTTAAACATTTCATTTTAATTTTGCAATTATGGTTTGTTGAATGTAACCTGTTATTATTCTTGCCAGATCAAGGAGAAATTAAAGAGATTTTAATGTAATTTAAGTCAACAAAAACATGGGCAGGACCATGTTAATACTGTTTTCCACTGTAAAAGTGGCACCTAGCACAGTGCCTGGCATGTGATATCTGTGGAATAAATTAGTGAAAAATGAATATGAAACTTTTTAAACAAATATTTAAACAATTGCTTTCATTGTAGTGGCTGATGGTGGTAAGGCAATTAGATGAAGGAGTCTTGATTTCAGCAACTTATCTGAAATTTGATTCATCTCTCTACTTCATACTCTTTAACTATAGAAAAAGTCTGTTAATTTCAGGGGTTTTTTTTCTAGAAAAATAATGGAGTTCTATCATTTTAAAAGTGTATATTTTATTAGAAGACTTATAATTTAAAAAAAAGATTTAAAAAATAAAAATCAGCCTGGAAAATTTATTGTCCAAAATTTTCTAATGGTAAATGTATGTATTTTAGTACCTCTAGCTAAGACCTATGACTCTTTGCTATAAAGATGGTCCATGCACAACATTATGTATAGAGATATACTGCTTAGGGTCACCATCTTGTCTGAGCCAGACCGGGAATACTAACAGGAATAGTCAATCCTTCAAGATGAGTAAATTCACTGAAATGTTTGTTTCAAATGATTCTGTGTTCCATCACAGCTGGAATAATTTTTCAGACAAAACATTAAATTAAAAGTTAATTAAGAAAGCCAAAACAGTCTAACTGCGTTTACTCCCGTATTAATGTAGAATGTAGGATTTGGATGGCTGAGGGGCTGTGTGTACTGTGTAGATCCTTAGAACTCTACACACTTCTACCCTGGGTAACAGTTAGGTGACCTTTGAAAAATCTGAAGTCCAAATAGCCATCTCCATAAAGGGCTCCTCTTAAGAAAGAACTTTAGAATATGAATCTCGAGGAAAAGAGGAGGAAAAGAGAAAGATTTTAGATGAAACAATTGTAGGGGGTGGGGCAGGTGGGTTTCACTCATATGAAAGATCCTAAAATGGAAATGATATAGATTCCTGTTTTAAAAAAAGAAATGCTGTGGTGTGTGTCTGCACATGCACCTGTGCATGAGTGTGTGTGTGCCTGTCATCTACATTAGTTAAAAATGACATGTTCTTTCTTTATTTTCTTGGGCACTGTTGGGGGAAAATATTAAATAATGTAGTACATTGTAAAAACCTAACTCTGTCAAAATTGAGTAAAGCAATCACCGCTGTTTTTGTGAAACAGAGCTGGAAGTCAGATCAAGGCATAATGTATTACACATTTTCAAAAATGTCATTCAACTGCATTTTAAGAAAAAAAAAACCCGAGACAAGATAAATATACCTGATACTCTTTTTAATGAAATGTTTCACACCTTTGTAAAATTCTTGTGATCTGTTTATAGAGCCAGAAACATTCTAGATGTCTATAGCTTTTATTTTGAAATAAAATGTTGGGATTATCTAATTAAATGGGAAAACCATTTTAAGAGCTAAGCAGCTGTAGACAAATCTACAATGAATTTGTAAGCAAGTCTTTCTAATAAAAAATAGGAATAGTCAATGTGTGGTCTTCGAAAGTGATGTCAGCATAGCAGTCCGGGCCTAAATGCAGGCTGGCAAGGTGTATCGTAGACAGGGTGAAAGGGATGCCATACATAGGTGGTGATTGTTTATAATACCTGCCTTCGGCCGGGTGCGGTGGCTCACACCTGAATCCCAGCACTTTGGGAGGCCGAGGCAGGCAGATTATCTGAGGTCAGGAATTCGAGACAAGCCTGGCCAATATGGTGAAACCCCGTCTCTACTAAAAATACAAAAATTAGCTGGGCATGGTGGCACACACCTGTAATCCCAGCTACTCAGGAGGCTGAAGCAGGAGAATTGCTTGAGCCTGGGAGATGGAGGTTGCAGTGAGCCAAGATAATGCCACTGCACTCCAGCCTGGCCAACAGAGCAAGAACCTGTCTCAAAAACAACAACAATAACAAAACAACAACAACAACAACAACAAAGAAACAAACAAAAAATACTTGCCTTCAGCCTGCTCGAGATCATATCCAGAGATTCACCAGTAGACTTGTGGAAGATCTACATATATGGCTTCATAACCTGCCAATGGAACTTTGTTGATTGAACTACACTTAAATATAAGTAACTCCAGTAAACTATTGTACATAAAGTGAATGTGCTGTTGGAAATGCTCTGATATTGGTTGGCTTCTACTACTGTCAGTAACCTGCACTGCTCAGAAACTCCATGTGGACTTCAACAGTGGATCTATGTAGATTGCCTTGCAATATTCAGATTTTTAGATTTCTGTGTTATGATCAGTATTTCAAAGAAAAGTTTGGCATTATTAGAAAAAACAAGGAAAAAAAGGCCATTTTATTCCCGTATAAAACTTCTTGGTTTGATATAGAAGTATGTAGCTTTTAGTGTTTTTATATATAGGGGACAAAATATTTGGTATTCTCAAACACGGGAATTCTGTGTAAATAGTACTCCTTGAAATTATGAAACCTGGTAGTCTTAACTAGTACAGGAATTCTTAA